>NT_167245.2:240375-540375 GCF_000001405.40 Homo sapiens | reverse complement strand
CCATGGTTTTCAGCTCCATCAGGTCCTTTAAGGACTTCTCTGCATTGGTTATTCTGTTTATCCATTCATCTGATTTTTTTTTCAAGGTTTTTAACTTCTTTGCCATTGGTTCAAACTTCCTCCTTTTGCTAGGAGTAGTTTGATCCTCTGAAGACTTCTTCTCTAAACTTGTCAAAGTCATTCTCCCTCCAGCTTTGTTCCGTTGCTGGTGAGGAGCCGCATTCCTTTGGAGGACGAGAGGCGCTCTGATTTTTAGAGTTTCCAATTTTTCTGCTCTGTTTTTTCCCCATCTTTGTGGTTTTATCTACCTTTGGTCTTTGATGATGGTGACGTACAGATGGGTTTTTGGTGTGGATGTCCTTGCTGTTTGTTAGTTTTCCTTCTAACAGTCAGGACCCTCAGCTGCAGGTCTGTTGGAGTTTGCTGGAGGTCCACTCCAGACCCTGTTTTCCTGGGTATCAGCAGCAGTGGTTGCAGAACAGCAGATATTGGTGAACCGCAAATGCTGCTGCCTGATTGTTCCTCTGGAAGTTTTGTCTCAGAGGAGTACCTGGCCGTGTGAGGTGTCAGTCCGCCCCTACTGGGGGATGCCTCCCAGTTAGGCTACTTGGGGGTCAGGGACCCACTTGAGGAGGCAGTCTGCCCGTTCTCAGTTCTCAAGCTGCGTGCTGGGAGAACCACTACTCTCTTCAAAGCTGTCAGACAGGGACATTTAAGTCTGCAGAGGTTACTGCTGCCTTTTGTTTGTCTGTGCCCTGCTCCCAGAGGTGGAGCCTACAGAGGCAGGCAGGCCTCCTTGAGCTGTGGTGGGCTCCACCCAGTTCGAGCTTCCTGGCCGCTTTGTTTACCTACTCAAGCCTTGGCAATGGTGGGTGCCCTCCCCCAGCCTTGTTGCTGCCTTGTAGTTTGATCTCAGACTGCTGTGCTAGCAATGAGCAAGGCTCCTTGGGCGTAGGACCCTCCGAGCCAGGTGCTGGATATAATCTCCTGATGTGCTGTTTGTTGAGCCCATTGGAAAAGCACAGTATTAGGTTGGGAGTGACCCAATTTTCCAGGTGCTGTCTGTCACCCCTTTCTTTGACTAGGAAAGGGAATTCCCTGACCCCTTGTGATTCCCAGGTGAGGCGATGCCTCGCCCTGCTTCGGCTCACACATGGTGCACTGCACCCACTGTCTTGCACCCACTATCCGGCACTCCCCAGTGAGATGAACCCAGTACCTCAGTTGGAAATGCAGAAATCACCTGTCTTCTGTGTTGCTCACGCTGGGAGCTGTAGACTGGAGCTGTTCCTATTCGGCCATTTTGGCTCCACCCTGGTTAGTTGAGTTTTTAAATCAACCCAATGAAGAAATGGTCTTAGCTTCTCCCAGCTGTTTGAGCCAGCACATAAAATTAGAATATCTTTTAAGGGCTCTCATGTTGATAAATTTGGCTTAATCCACATTTGGTTCAGTCAAATGTTTTCTCTCTTCATGACAATCCATTCCAATATAATCCCCAAGATTTTTGTAGCTTAAAATGGCAAATTTTATCATTATTTTCTGTCTCCTGACACACTGTTAGTGTTAGTCTGATGGGCACACAACAAGTGTCATCTCTCAGCATGCTCCAGGGAGACAGAAACATCCTACCTAGTTGTGTTGTGATTAATCATGATAACTGATACCCTCTTTAAAGGTATTGCCTCAGATATCATTTCAAAAACTTCAGCCAAATCATGGTCATTTCACCAAACAAAAGAAATAGGGTGACCTGACATGAAAACAAAGATTTTTTTTTTATTTTGGGATTGATAGCACTGTAATTTACTTGAAACTATCTAGATATTCTCAACACTACAGGAGCAAACTTGGATGGGTATTTTGCCACAAGTGCAGCAGAAAAGCTAAGATAATTCACTCCAATGCACTACAAGCTTTCATAATGTGTGCTGAAGTGTCCTTCCAAAGTTTGGGAGTGCCCTCAAAGGGCAGAAAGCTAGGGACAGGACTGGGAAGCAAATAGAAGTCCCCACTGACCCAAAAGGCTGGCAGCCAGACTATAAAGCAAAGAGAAATCTCCCGTAGTCCAAAAGGCTGGTAGCCTCACTATAAAACATCAAGACTTATCTGGACTCTCACCAGAATTCAGGCCCACCCTTCCTTCAAAATAGTTGAAGACAGTGGTTAACTGAATTTAACCAAGTTTACAACAGGTTTAAGCTTAGCTACACATCAGACAGTCTGAGTTCCCCATACTCATACCCTGATAAATAAGGAATGTGTCCTATCCTGAGGATAAATACTACTTACTATTTATTTCTGTCCCTACAAGTATTTTTTACAAATTGTTATGGACTGTTTGTGTCACTCCAAATTTATATGTTGAAGCACTTACCACAATGTGATGATATTTGGAGGTAGAGTCTTTGGGAAGTTAAATTAGGTTTAGATGCAGTCATGAGAGTGGGGCCCCCATGTCAGGGTTAGTGTTTTTATAAGAAAAGGAAGAAAGATCAGAGTTTTATCTACACAATGTGAGAATACAGTGAAAGGTCTGTCAGCAAGAGAGACTTCACCAAAAACTAAATTTTCTGGCACCTTAAATTTGGACATTCCAGCTTCCAGAATTATGAGAAATAAATGTCTGTTGTTTAAGCCACCCAAGCTATGGTATTTTGTTATAACATCCTGAGCTAAGACATATTTTTGTACCAGGAGTGGGATGTAGCTGAAAATGTAGAAGTGGCTTTAAAACTGGAAAAGGGGTAGAAGTTAAGGAATTTGGGGATGCATGCTATAAATATGCACAATAATAGCTATTCTGTTTAGGGCTTATACAGAATATAAGACTGCTGGAGAAAAACTTCCATTTTCTTATAGAATACATAAATAATTATAAACAGAATGTTGGCAGAAATATGTATGGTAAAGGTCATTCTGGGGAAGGCTTAGACAGAAATGAAGAATAAGCTATTGGACAATTGAGAAAAAGTGATTCTTTTTATAAAGTGGTAAAGAACTTGGCTGAATTATGTTCATGTTTTATTGTTTTGTGGAATGTAAAACTAGTAAGTGATGAAATTAACAGTGAACATAGCTGACATTTCTAATCAAAGTGTTGAAGGAGTCACTTTGTTCATCCTGACTGCTTCTACTAAGATGCAAGAAAAAAAAAAGAGATAAATGAATCAAAAAAGGAATTGTTAAAAAAAAAAAGGAGCTGGAACTTAAAAAATTGGAAAGTTCTCAGCCTATCCACACTGCAAAAGATGAGAAAGCATGCTGAGAAAAAAAAAAAACCACCAAAGGTGTGGCTGGACCCTCACTCGATAAAGAGATTACGGGATTATATAAGCAGAAACACTGTCAGTCTGAACTGAAGGAGATGGGAATGGGATAAAATGAAGAAAGTCTGTCAGACTTCTTAGATTCTTTGGGACTGGACCATAGAGCTATTCAGATGTGAATGTGTGATATTACTCTTCAAGACAAGGGAAGAAAGACCCTAAAGGTGTTTTAGAGATTATCTGGGCTGCCACCTCAGATTTAAAGGTTGGGGCTATCATCTCAGTTTCAATGGGCAGTTGGTGTCAGAGTGGCTGCCAGAGCCTTTTGGGTACAATGAAGAGTCATGAGGACATGACCCCTTCCCTGCAGAGCTACAGAGGTCCGACTATCTACTATCCCAGTTTGTCCAGAAAGTGGGACTGTCATCCCAGTAGACCCAGAAGGCAAATTATGAAACCAAAGATTATCCTTGAGCTTTAAGATCTAATGGTATTTGCATTACAAGATTTTAGATTTGCTTGGAACCTGCCACCCCTTTCTTTCTTCCAGGTGTTGGAATGAGAATGCCTATTCTATGTCTAATCTATCATTGTATTTTGGAAGTGTGTAATTTATCTGGTTTCACAGACTTATAACTGGGGATGAATTTTTCCTCAGGATTAATCGTATCTTGAGCCTCACCTATATCTGATTTAGATGATATTTAGATGAGACAGGACTTCCAATTTTAGAGTTGATCTTGGAATAAGTTAAGACTTTGGGGGCTACTGAAATAAGATCATTTTTTTTGTGTGTGTAAGAATAACATTAATTTGGGAGACAAAAGGCAGAATGCTATGGATTGAATGTCTGTGTACCCCCAAAATTCATATGTTGAAGCCCTAACCCTCCATGTGATGGTATTTGGAGATGGGGCCTTTGGAAAGTAATTAGGTTTAAATCAGGTCATGAGGGTGGGCCTCCATAAGGGGATTAGTGACCTCATAAAAGGAAGAGGGACCATAAAAGGAAGAGCACACTCTTTCCCTACCACTTGAGGGAACAGCAAGTGAAAAGGCAGCCGTCTGCAAGTCAAGAAGTAGGGCCTCATCAGGAACTGCACCTCCTACTCCTTTATCTTAAACCTCCCAGCCTCCAGAACTTTGAGAAATAAGTGTCTGTTGTTTATTCCACCCAGCCTGTGGTATTTTGTTAGAGCAGCCCAAGCTGACCAAGACACACAATGCCTGGCATAAAATAAAAATTAAACACTATGAGGCACACTAACAAGCAAGAAAAATAGAAACAGTGCACGCCTGTAATTCCAGCTACTAGCGAGGCTGGGGCAGGAGAATCACTTGAACCTGGGAGGCAGAGGTTGCAGTGAGCAGAGATCACCCAGGCACTCCAGCCTGGGTAACAGAGTAAGACTCCGTCTCAAAAAAAAAAAAAAAAAAAAAAAAAGAAAGAAAAAGAAAAAAGAAAAAGAAAGAAACAGGAGTCATTTGAAGCTAAAAAGAGGAAATATTCAAGTGAAGTATATCCAGACATGGTTCAGACATTAGAATCATCAGATAAGAATTTTTTAAATATGTTTTAACATTTCGCTGGTAAAGGCAGACAAGATTTATGAACAAAGGGGAGATCTCAACAAAGAGATTAGCATTGTACAGAAGAACCAAATGGAAATGTTGGATATAAAAAAAAACATACCAGAAATAATATAAGAAATAAATAATTAATTTGGTGGGCTTAACAATAGGCTGGACTCAGTAGAGGAAAGAATTCATGAACTGAAATACAAGTCAATTGAAATTATCCAAACTTCAACCCAAAGAGAAAAAAGAAAAAGCATCCAAGTTATGTAGGATAATATTATCTCCTCTGACACATGAGTACTTGGAGCTCCAGAATATAAGAAAAAGAAATAAACAGAAAAAAATCTTAAGAAATAATGGTTGAGAATTTTCCAAAATTAATGACACCACCATAAATCCGAGAAGTTCACCAAACCCAATGCAAAATAAATAAGAAAATCACACCGTTGCCCTTTACCAAAATGATGACATGGATTTCCCTTAAGAAAAAACAGAATGATCAATGATAGCCACTTCAGTGGTTTTATACTCCTTGGATTCACAGGGCAGCCTCAGCTTCAGATGATGATCTCTGGGGTTGTCTTTTTCTTCTACACTATTGCCTTCATGGGAAATATGGCCATCATCCTATTGTCTTTCCTAGATGACCATCTCCAAGTCCCCATGTACTTCTTCCTTAGAAATTTGGCCATCTTGGATCTCTGTTATACCACAAATATAGTCCCACAAATGTTGGTCAGTATCTGGGGCAAAGACAAAAGAATTACCTTTGGTGGGTGTGCCTTTCAACTTTTCATTGATGTGGCACTGTACTCAGTTGAATGCATCCTTCTGTCCATGATGTCATATGATCGACTCAATGCTATCTGCAAGCCTCTGCATCATATGACCATAATGAACCTCCAACTCTGCCAGGGCCTTGTGGTCATCTCCTGGGTAGTTGGTGTGATTAATTGCATCATACCTTCCCCTTATGCCACGAGTCTTCCTCGATGTAGGAACCACCACCTAGACCACTTTTTTGTGTGTGTGAAATGTCTGCAATGATCAAGATTCAAGATTGCATGTGTGGACACCACAGCCATGGAGGTAACCACATTTGCCATGTGCCTGATTATAGTTCTTGTTCCTCTTCTTCTTATTCTTGTGTCATATGGTTTCATTGCTGTGGCTGTACTCAAGATCAAGTCTGCAGCAGGAAGACAAAAAGCATTTGGGACCTGTTCCTCCCATCTCGTTGTGGTATCCATCTTCTGTGGGACAGTTACATACATGTATATACAGCCAGGAAACAGTCCAAATCAGAATGAGGGCAAACTTCTCAGTATATTTTACTCCATTGTTACTCCCAGCTTGAACCCATTAATTTATACGGTAAGGAATAAGGAGTTCAAGGGGGCCATGAAGAGGCTAACTGGAAAAGAAAAAGATTGCATGGAAAAAAGAGGACATTGATTCTTCCTCCCAGCAATTTCTAATATGGCAATTGATCTTCCCAATCTAAAATGTAGACAATTTATTTTGTAAATAAATTGTCTACACCTGAGATAAAGATAATATCCATTAAAAATATAATAAAATTATAATAAAAATTATAATTAAGCCGAATGTATTTATTGAATACTTAATCCATGATGATTGGTATATGTACAAAACTCATATTTAAAATGAAATTATAAACTAAAGTGCCAACACTAAAAATAACATGCTATGCACTGATTTCTTTTGGATTATATATGTTACAATTATATTGATATTGACCAATTTAACTCTAATAGTCTCCTTTGATTATGTTAACTAAATATTGTCATTAATTTAAGGAGATTAAAAGCTGTTTTCATTGCCCTCTATTTTAAGGTACAACACTTTTGCTCCAACCAGTCCCAGGAATATTTTTACACAGGCAAATCTCCAGCCTGAAGATGACAGCAGCAAAGCTAGTCGTTAACCAAGAAGACCAAGAGTTCTAGTTATCAATCATCTTTGAAAAGATCTCATGTTAATTAACCACAGTAATTTCCCCCTATCTTTCTCTGCTTAGATAATTACTCAAGGAGCTCAATTTTTGTGATCACAAAAGAAAAATATTTTTATCAGTTCCAATAATCATCTTTAAGATAATGCTTTTTTCTTTCCCACTTGGCCTTCCAAGTTTTTACTACTTATTTTGGGGATGAGCATGGAGGTATTGCCATGTCACCTGGTTTTAGATGTTCTACATTTTTTCTCTGAGTGCTTCAAGAAAACTGACACATAGAAAGGTGATTTATTTGGCTATTGAAATGGTCTTTCTGTCTTTTTCTGAAGTGTGTTTTTAAATGCATTTCTTTCTCATTTTTGTTGAGTTATTATCCTTTCCATATTTTGACTGAAGATAAATTTGATTTTTGTCTTGAAGATAAATGTTGATTCATGGGATAGTTCAGAGCTATGTTACCAACTTGTAACTTGAAAAAGAATTTTTGAAAACTTCCTTTATGTTTCTGATCCAATATCCAATATCACTTTTTCTTGCTCCATCTCTTGCTCATGTCCTAGTTATTTATACAGTCACATAATTCCATTCATGCCAAAAAGACTTTTTATTAAAAAAGCTAGAGTGATTAATTTTATTCCTTATACCCTCTTTCTCCCTTGAGAAAGTAGAAAACTTAAATAAAATGAAAAATCTAGAATATTTGATTTTGATATTTTTGTAGTTCTTGAGGATGAAAAATGAACTTAATAGGATTTTGAAGTCTAAATACTCCATTAGATAAGTTAAAGTAAAATTGTTTCAATAGCTGTTTTGAAGCATCATAAATTGAGATACTTGTAGGAACTACTTAAGCTCTGGAGTGACTTTTCTTTTTATTCCAGCTTCTCCGTTAATGACAGTACTTTCAGAAGTTGTCCTAAATCTCAGAGACACACCTAGCATTTTGCAGTATATATTTAGTACTTTTATGACTATTAAGAACGCCACATTTTCCAGGAATTCCAACATCTTTCAAAAAATAGAAGAGAGAGAAAACAGAGAAAAGGAAGTTACCAAAAGCAGACAGGAGAAATTTTCAGATCAAAAGAACATAAATGTACACCTTAAAGAATTATTGTACAATACACTGTGATGGAACACCCAAAAGCCCACCCAAGTCAAGTTTTAGAAAAATGTACTCAGAGGTGGCCAAAGTGCCGCTTCATGGTTATAATCCCTATCCTTCTCTCTCAACATTAATTATTATTCTTACATATATAGATTTCACACTTTTCCTTTCCTTTACAGATGTCTTACCTAACTATGCATCTCCAAATAATATGGTTTAATTTTTTTAATTTTTATATACATGGATTCTGTTGTACTTGAATTCTTTCAAATAACATTATATTTTTAAGATTCATCTATGCATTAAGCATTTCTGTACTTCACTTATTTCCACAGCTGTAAATACTTCATAATATACATATACAACTTATTTATTTATTCTGTCTTCATAAAAATTATAGTTTTTCACGTTTTCAAACCTCAGAAACAATTCTGCTTAGAATATTTTATGCATGTATTTTGGCTCATCTTGCATATGTATATATATCCTCATTGTATATTTGTACTCAGGTTTTTTGAAACACTGCCAAAATTTTCCAGAGTGGTTGCACCATATTAAACACTTATCAGTGTATGTGTTTCCATTGCTCTACATCTTCATCAATATTTGGTTTTCTTAGGTTTCTTTTTAATTTTAGTCAATCTGATGTGAGTGCATGATGGGTATAATTTTTGCTTTTATGATTATTGAAGCAAACGAGCACCATCCATTTCACAAATGCATTGGCCACTTATGTTTACCCTTTGAGATTTATCTATTCAGGTTTTTGCAATTTTTTACTATTTTTCTTATTGATATGAAGTATTTATATGTTCTGGATATGCCTTTTAACAAGCACAAGCACTAAAAATATCTCTTCCTTTTCTGTGATTTGTCTTTTGACTCCTAATGGTGTCACCTGATGAACAGAATTTTGTAGTTTCAATGATTGAAGTGTATTCATCATTTTTTACCTGTCAGTGATTTTTAAGACCAGTTACAGAAATAATTCCTCTTCCTAATAATACCTAATAATACCATAAAGTTATTATTTCATATTGATTTCTAAAACAGGAGTTGGGAAACTGTAGCCAGTGGGCCACTTGTGTCTGTTTTATAAAGTTTTATAGGAACACAGCCACACCCAGTTACTTACTTTTGTCTATGGCTGCTTTAGCACTACAACTACAGAGTTGAGTAGTTGTGACCGAGACCTGATGACACACAATGCCTAAAATATTTACTATCTGGCCTTTCCAAAAAAGTTTCCGTACCCTATTCTAGAAGATACTTTTTCCCTTTCACATCTAAATCTACAATCTATCTGGAATAGATGTTTATACACAGTATAAGTTGGGACAAATTTATTTTTTTAATTAATATCCCATTGGTCCAGCACCATATATTGAAAATTATAATTTTTCTCTATTCTTCTGTAGTGTTGTCTTTGTCATAAATAAATTTCCACAGATCTGTGGGTTTGTTTCAAGTCTTTTTTTTTCTATTTCAGTGTTTGATGTGGTTTGGCTGTGTCCCCACCCAAATCTCATCTTCAGTTGTAGCTCCCATAATTCCTGCATGGGAGCATGGGAGGGACCCAGTGAGAGGTAACTGAATCATGGGAATGGGTCTTTCCCATGCTGTTGTCGTGATAGTAAATAAGTCTCACAAGATCTGATGGTTTTATAAAGGGAATTTTCCCTGCACACTCTTCTTGCCTGATGCCATGTAAGATGTGACTTTGCTCCTCCTTCACCTTCTGCCATGATTGTGAGGCCTCCCCAGCCATGTGGAACTGTGAGTTTGCACCTCACTCATTGCTTCTCAAACCCTCACATTGTGTGCCAAAAAATATTGCAGGACTTTTCCTTAGTTCAGCTAAAAAGGGGGTTCTTTGTCCCATGGCCATGAAAATTCAGACTCACAACTTAAATGGTGAGTAAGACAGGATTTTATTGGGTGTAAAGGGGGAAACACGGGCTCTTGGAAGGCCAGAGTCCCTGCTACAGTGCTTCCCGACCAGGTGTTTGAATCCCAGGTTCCACACAGGAAAAGGAGGAGCCAGGCTCCTTCCTGTGGCAAACATCATGAACTTCTGGAGGCTCCACCTCAGTGGGCAGGCTGGTTGGAGTTTCTCCAGGGAACACCTCCCACCTGGCTGTCTCAAGGGAGTTGGAAAGGAAAGGCAAATAATATTTGGAAATACAAGTTTTGAGATGAAAGAAAAAAGTTTGAATTTTAAAAATTTAAGGTCAGAAGATTTACATAGCAGAGTGAAGGTGGACAGCAGGATTAAAACTGTTCAGCTTAAATATTAGAAAAAAGGCATAAAAGGTATAAAACCTGCATTCTCTATGAACCCTTGGCTAAAGGAGGTGATAACTTGTAACAGATTTCTAACCCCTTCGTAATATCCTTTTTAATAAGGGGAGATCCATCCAGTTTTATTTAGCCATTTTGCTCATGATTCACCTTTGAGATTTTTGTAGATTTTTTTTTTTTTGCCTTGGTATAGAAATATACAATGTAATTGAGAATATAGACCTTGTAAGGCAAATTGCCCTGGGTATAAATTTTACACTTAGTTGGATAAACAGATAAAACATTAGAACAATGGTGAAATATAAAATACTTATATTTTCTTTCAATCCCATTATGTACTTTTCCTAGCTATATATACTGCTAATATTATATCTAAATATATTCATTATGGCTTCCAAAATGTTGACTATTTTTTAAATTTTCACAGCTGATATTCAGAAAATAGCAAAAATGATCAATGATAGTTACTTTGGTTGGCTTATGCTCCTTGGGTTCCCTGGGAAGCCTCAGCTGGAGATGATCATCTCTGGGGTTGTCTTTTTCTTCTATGCAATTTCTTTGATGGGAAATATGGTCCTTATCCTGCTGCCATTACTGGATAAACATCTCCAAACCCCCATATATTTCTTTCTTAGAAATCTGGCTATCTTGGATCTTTGTTACACCACAAATATAGTCCCACAGATGTTGGTCAATGCCTGGGGTAAAGACAAGAAAATCACTTTTGGTGGCTGTGCTTTTCAACTTTTCACTAATGTGACGCTATGCACGGTTGAATGTATGCTTCTGGCTGTGATGTCATATGACCCATTCAATGCTGTCTGCAAGCCTCTGGACTATATGACCATAATGAACCCCCAACTCTGTCAAGGCCTGGTGGCCATGACCTGGTTAATTGGTGTCACTAATTGCATGATACTTTCCCCCTGTCCTGTGAGTCTTCCTCGATGCGGAGACCACCACCTGGATCACTATTTTTGTGAAATATCTGCAATGGTCAAAATTGCATGTGGGGCTACCACAGTCATGGAGGAAACTGTAAGAGTTAAAGAAAGAAGAAAGAAACACGAAACGTGGCTGGCAGTTAAAGACAGGTTTTCCTTAATTAAAACCTGACAGCACTCCTGGCTGATTTCATATATTGGTTTTAGGGTGAGGGGGCTAAGAACATATATTGGTTTTAGGGTGAGGGGGCTTATTACAAGCTTGGAATGTTTATGTGTGTGGAGAAGTTTATGGCGGGGTTGGAATCTCTCTGGGAAGAGGGGAGGTTATCTTGGGGCAGACATCTTTCTGGCCTGGAGGGGGGTTATCTCTGGGCTAGCATCTTCCCAGCTTGAGAGGGCTTATCTAGAGGCTAGCATGACTCTGGTCGGGGAGGAGTTTGGAAGGTTTCTGGTTGGGATGTTATTTGTGGTTTATGGTCGTGCTGACCTTAGCCATTAGGCTGAGGCCCTTTGGATTAGGTGGTTTTTTATTAAAATGAACTATAGAATAAGGGGCTTGTCCAAGATGGTGATGCTCCTGCTCTGTCAGAAACCTTATTTGCATTGTGTTGTTGTTGTTGTTTTCATTTTCCTTGCATCACTTCTTCTCATTCTTGTGTCATATGGCTTCATTGCTGTGGCTGTACTCAAGATCAAGTCTGCAGCAGGAAGACAAAAAGCATTTGGGACCTGTTTCTCCCATCTCATTGTGGTATCCATCTTCTATGGGACTGTTAGATATATGTATATAGAGCCAGGAAACAGTCCATCTCAGGATGAGGGCAAACTTCTCCATATATTTTACTCCATTGTTACTCCCACCTTGAACCCATCCCACTAAGGAATAAGGAGTTCAAGTGGGCCATGAAAAGGCTTATTGGAAAAGAAAAAGGTTCTGGAGACACAATAGGTCACTAACATCTTTTTACAAGAAATTCCTGGCCGGGCACGGTGGCTAACGCCTGTAATCCCAGCACTGTGGGAGGCCGAGGCAGGGGGATCACAAGGTCAGGAGATCGAGACCCTCCTGGCTAACATGGTGAAACCCCATCTCTACTAAAAATACAAAAAATTCGCACCTGAAGTCCCAGCTACTCTGGAGGCTGAGGCAGGAGAATGGCGTGAACCCGGGAGGCGGAGCTTGCAGTGAGCCGCGATCGCTACACTGCACTCCAGCCTAGGCGACAGAGCGAGACTCCGAATCAAAAACAAACAAAAAATAAAAATAAAAAAAGAAATTCCCAATAAAGAAATTATCTTTGTCTAACCTTTAAATTATAGTCAACTTATTTTAGTAGTAGTCATCATCTGAAAAAGAAAATACCTAAAAATTTTGCTTGTATTTTAGTATCAATGTCCCTCATTGTCAAGGGTTCATTCTTTAAAAAATTAAAAATGTCTTTCAAAAACACTACTTATTATCTTGGATGATTCATCTACAGTTGTGGCAACAAAACAGGTTCCGTAAAGTCTAAGGGTTATGTCAACTGGGGTACGGGGGAGCATTTTATAAAGATTAAATTCAGATTATAATTTATATTATTTAATAATTTTAAATATAATTAAACTATTATACTATAACAAAAATTCATTAATTCATGTGTTAACTATGAGTTTTGGCTATAATTCACCATTCATCTGTTCCTATTAAGATTAAAACATTTTTGTTTAGATTCCAAATACTCCTGCCATCTCTACCTATTTTAAGACATATTAGGTTACTGGTCTAAAATATACTTCTATTTGTAGCTATTTGCTGCAGGAATCTGGACTTTCTCAAAATTTTGCTACTAAAATAAAATGTAGGACTAGATTGGATATGGATGTTGATATGGTTACAATGTTAATAAATCATTCTTAGTTTTAAATTTTTGTGTTCATTCAACAACTTCACTAATCTTTTTTATATAAGTTGGTAGTAAGTAAACATTTTGTATTCATTAATTCTTTTTATAAGGCCAGCATAAGCTAGACTTAAAAACATTACAAGGATTTACAAAAAAATAAAAAATGTTTATCAGTATCTTTCATAAACACAGTTGCAAACATCCCTAAATATTAACAAATCAAATATATAAAGGAGGTCCATTAAGAGAGGCAATGTGTGTGTGTGTGTAAGAACTATTCAGAATATAAAAAGAATTTCTACAAATCAGTAAGAAAAAACACAAACAACGTGATAGAACAATCACTTCACAAAAGAGGATAGCCATATGGCCAACACATGAAAATGTGCCCAACTTCACCAATCATCAGGGAAAATTATAACAACAAAGAGATACGGTTAAACACAAATACTGCTCCATAATAACATGGTCTATTAACAAAAAAAGATATGCAGTTTCTTACGATATAGATGAGAACTTTAAGAGTATGTTTGGGGGTGGATGTCAAGGAATATGAAATACAGAGCTTGAATGAACTGAATTTAATGACATGAGTGCTATCACCCAGAGCACAGGATACAAGCATTGGCTCAAACTCCTGAAAGTGTTATTGATCTTCTTTCACATTAGCTCACTGAAGCTTGAACTCAGAGATAGCCTATAGCTAATGAGGTTGAAAAGCTAGAATTTCCACAGTACCTTGTAAAATAAGGAATCAGTAGTCAATAGAGATTTTGTAATCTAATACAGTATGGCCATCTGCCCTCTGTACATAAGACCCTGTGCTATAAGATTGGAAGACATTTTCTTCCCTATAGCATTAAGAAATGGATCAGTGAGGAGGGCATCAGTGGTCTTAAAATGCTCTGTGGCATCTGAATTCTTTGGTGCAGAGCTGATGGTGGGGAATGAAACTGAAATTGGATTATATGGTCTTGAGAAAAATGATAATTCTGGAAAATTAAATGCCAGGAAGTGACACCATCATAGACAAAGTGGAAGTAGTTACTACAAGTAAGTCACATTGACTAGGGTATTGTGACCTACAGGGACCTGTAGTGATACACAGTTTATCAAACGGTACTTAAAAACACAATATTTGGTAACCTACCACTGTATTGTGAATGTCTGTGTCCCCCAAAACATGTTAAAACCTAATCACCAGTGTGATGGTGTTAGCAGGTAGGCCCTTGGGAGGTGATTAAATCATGAGGGCACAGCCTTCTTGAATGGAATTCATGCCTTTATAGAAGAGGCCTCAGAGAGCTGCTTTGTCTCTTCCACCATGTGAAGACACAGTGAGAAGACACCATCTGTGAACCATAAAGGGGCCTTCACCAGACACCAATCTGCCAGAACCTTAATGTCAGACTTCCTAACTTCTAGAACTATGATAAGTAAATTTTTTTTGTTTATTAGCTACCCAGTTTATGGTATTTTGTTATAGCAACCCAAATGGACTAAGATACCTACTAAGATGTTAGCTGGAGTATATTAGCAGAAAAAATTCTAGGTGTGGAGACAGAAACATAACTTGAAACAATATAATAGGGATTCATGGCTTTTTACCCAGTTTCCATATTAAGCCAGTTTGCAGATTCAGATTTTCTCATCTGAGAGGTAGAATAATCCCTTTATGAATAGATCTGGCAATGAAGCAACATAATATTAAAGCTTTTTCCCTCAAGTCTTGTCTACAGAGACATTCCAGGCACTTAACTAGCTAATCATCCCTGAAGAAGGGGGTTATTAGATATTGTTGCTAGTCCCTGGTGATCTGGTTGCTTTGACAAATTCCTAGTGTCTGAAAATGAAAGACATTGGGTTGAGTTTTAGCTAGTTCACTTTCATTCTGAACAGTTAATTATTTTATTGTGTATTTCCTTGAAGAGAAAAAACTCTAAAAGTAATTTTGCTGTACGAACTACTATGAAATTTATCTGAAACGTTTTAATTGCTTCACATAGCATTGGGAGAAGTTAAAATCTAAAGTAACAGAATCTTTTGGGATAGGAACAAAGTGAGATCATCAATGCCAGTAATTCCATTCACTTCATAATGAGATCCCTTGGGCCCTGCCCTTCCCTCTGGTAAATAACTGCTTATGTGAAAATCTCCCTTGCTCCTCCTTTGACTTTAAACATCAAATATGAGTCTCTTATTCAGAATCCTTGAGAATTTTCCCATTATCCAGAAAGACAGATAGCAAGGACAAACACAACAACTCATCAATTTCTCAGAAAGTAGGAATGAACTGCCTGAAACATGAATAACTACAGATAAAAGCACAATCCAGCGTCAACATTCCCAATGTGTGTTCCATTTTTCCTTTCTCACACCTTTAGAATATAAAAGCCGTAATGCACATGATGCTTCAGAAAAATAAATGTCAAGTTGTATCTTAGTTTTAACTTGGAAGTTGAGGAGAAATGCAGTAAAAATATAGGAAACCAAAGCCCTTGAAAGTAATTTATAGTGAATTGTCTGCTTTCAAGAAGAATAACCAAACATCTGAGAAAAGAAAACTTCTCATCTTTTTATTTGAACTGATACGTTTTTTGTTAGAAGAAAAAATTTATGAGCAAACCATTAGTGAGAAAGTGAGTTTAGCAGTAAATAGCTAGTAGTAGAACTTACACAAACAAATTTAAGCCACAAAGAGTGCATTGATCTAGTAGACTCTAATAGGTTTTGTTTTCTTTTTTAATTTGACTAAGACAAGGATCTAAACCAAAATGCATATTTTTCAAGAATCTTTTTTTATTTTACTTTTTTAAATCACATCTATTTTTAACTCACTAAATTGTTTGACATATTGTAAGAAAATCATTTGGTAATGATTTTAATTTTGTGAGTATAATATTGTGCAGTCAGAAACTGCAGCAGCTGGAAAGTTTTAAGTTGTAGAATCAAAGCACCTCAGACAATGGTAGACACTGTATATGATAAAACACACATCCTTTAATCACATTAATGCTTTGGGAATTATATAAAAAGATATGTCCTTTACTATGTTGTTTGTCAAACCTAAGTAACAGAATCAAAATAAATTGCTTAATTATTTTCAAATTTTAAGTTATTTTGAATAATTCAAATTTTGTTACATATATAAAGAATATATTTATTAGAGTATAAAGTGAAAATTAAATATGTAACTCTTCTAACATGAGGCACATCACCCTCCAAAAACCAATAATGTCGCAGTAAGACAAATTATGCTGCATTATATCATTCAAATGAAATACGATATATTCAATGCTCTACCACTTTTAATTACGAATATAATTTGACCCTGTTTCTATATGAGTATATGCAAACTTGTGTAATTATGTTAAATGTATATAATATTCAGTTAACTAGCTCGTTCTTGATGATCATGTGTGCTGTTTCCAATTTTTTACATGAAAGTAATGTTTCACAAATATTTTAGGATGCATGCAGAATAAACTCCTAGAAATGAAATTAATCAAAGTTAGTTCAAAATATTTTTATGTACATTTTTATTGTGAAAGATAACAGCAAATTGTCTTACAAAAAGAATTTATCCTTCTCCACATAGATTATGAAACTGATCATTTTCTAAACATTTGCAACATGGTTGGTTCCTAACAGTCACTTAAATATAAGCCATTTCAGGACGAAAAAATGCCTCAACTTTTCAATTTCAACTTACTAATTAGAATAGGATTGAAATTATTTTCATATGTGTTTATTTCTTTTTTTCCAAAATGTCTTTTAGGATATTTGCCCATTTTTTGTAGAAACATTTTTAATTTTGGGGAAATAAAAAGTCAAAAGCTATTTTTATTAAGAAAAGCAGTATTTTTCTGCTATGTATATTAATGGTTTCGTTTGGGTCCTATCGAACCACGTGGTTTATCCATCATTGAATTTTCTATTAAAATTTATGATATATCCTTTTTCTCAAATTTTGTTTTGATAATATCTGAAAAATAATAACATGTTCATATTTTGATTTATAAATACTTTTAATCAGTTATGATTTTTAAAGAAATGTTCATAAATTATAATGGCACTTCCATAATGGTGGTGTGGCTCATTGCCCTGTAAAACAACCATGACTGATACAATTTTTTTAATTCCAAGTCTCTGAAAATTGTCTTAAGAGAAAACAACAAATGAAGTAATACTTATTCAAGATACTCTACTAAATCTCACTAAGAAGAGCAAGAGTCTATGGCACTTGAGCCACAGCCTGCTTTCCTACCCAGCTCAGTGTGATGGAAGCTCCACTCTGGACAGGTGTGGCCAAGAAGAAAAGGATTCCTTTCCCCTCAGCTCCCAGTCAAGGAATATAGTATCTCACTGAGAGGGGCAGAATGCCAGCATTTCTTATCACTTTCACTTCTGAGTTGTCAAGGCTACATTCCCAGAGATCTAAACAAAAGACTGGGGCTACCTTCCTGCACTCCATACATAAGGTGGATACCCTATGCCAAGCATGTTGAGCCAAGAATACTGGAACTCTTATCACCTTTGCCCTAGCTCACTCATAAACAGAGGTCCAACACTGGGAGAGGCAAGCAAAGAAAAGTAAAAGCTACCACTCTTCAGTGCACTGCCCTTGGAACAGTGGCATAGAAGGTTTTGTCTAGGGACAGGGGAAGAACAGAACATTCAAAAGCTCTGTCCAAAGAAACTGACTGTATTTGAAGCAGAGTGTTGAAAGTTCAAGCCTAAGGGTACATTAAAAAACAATGAATATTTGGTGCTAAGGAGTTAAGACAAGGCTGAGACTCTATGAGACAACAAGCTAGGCCATAAAACAGTGAGTTTACCAGTGACAACCAGGGAAAGAGCTTTTCTGGGGTCAGAACAAATCTCAAAAAGTGACCTCAAGAACTACCCCTGCAAAATTAGATCACACTGTGGAGCAATTTATGTCCCCAGGGCATTATCAAAACCAATAGAGCACCCAGCCAGCAATTAATGGATCCTCCCAGCTGAGTATAATACCAAATGACGAAGACTGGTTAACAAAAATCAGCAAATGACATTGCAAAGACAAGACATCCAAAGCCCTGCTCAAACTATTCTCATCCCAGGTTGTTTATGTCCATGCCCAAGGCTGTGCTCTCTGAAGGGTAACACCAGAGGCTTCACACTGTGGAGGAAATTTACTAAAATAGCCTGGCCAAGTCACTAACAAACAAAAAATAAAACAAGACCCAGGACGGGGAGTCAGTATACAAAGTTACTACAATGTCTAGTTTTAATTTAGTAACATTATATTACTCAAATGTCTAGTTTTCAACAAAAAAACTATGAGACTTGTAAAAAAATAGGAAAGCATGACTGATACACAAGTAAACGAGCAGACAATAGAAACTGCCAGTGAGAGGCCCCAAATGTCAGATTTATCATAGATCAAAACAACCAATATAAATATGTTCAAGGAAATAAAATCATGCTTAAAGAAGTAAAAGAAGGTATGATAAGAGTGTCTCATCAAATAGAGACTACTAAAAAGGGAGATAAAGTATTTTAAAAATGAAACAAATGGAAACTTTAGAGTTGAAAAGCACAGTGAAAACTTCACTAGAGGAGCTCAACAGTAGATTTGAACTGATGGAAGAAAGAATCAGTGAACTTGAAGATAGGCTGATAGAGATTATGCAATCTGAGCAACAAGAAAAAAATAAAATGAACAGATCCTCAGACAAGTATGGAATACCACTGATGACACCAAAGTACACATAATGGAAGTATCAAAGGAGCAGAGAGAAGCAAGTTAAAAAAATATTCAAAGAATTAATTGCTGAAACATTAAAGTTGATGAAAAAAATTATATATCTAAAAAGCTCCTTTCTCTAAATAGGATTAATGTAAAAATATTCACATTCAGTTGCATCATAATAGGAACACTAAAAGCTAGAGTCAAAGAGACAGTTTTGAAAGCAGCAAGAGGAAAATGACTCATCATGTACAAGAGAACCTCAGTAAGATTATCATCTGACTTCTCATCAGAAATACTGGAGACTAGAAGGCAGTGGGGATGACAGCCAAAGTTCTAAAAGAACGTTGAACCAAGAGTCTTATATCCAGGAAAACTATCCCTCAAAAATGAACCACATTTATTTTTTTTTCTGAGACGAAGTCTCACTCTGTCACCAGGCTGGAGTGCAGTGGCGCAATCTTGGCTCACTGCAACCTCTGCCTCCCAGGTTCAAGTGATTCTCCTGCCTCCGCCTCCAAAGTAGCTGGGACTACAGGTGCGCACCACCACTCCCAGCTAATTTTTTAATTTTTAGTAGTTGGGTTTCATTATGTTGCCCAGGATGGTCTCGATCTCTTGACCTCCTGATCTGCCCGCCTCGGCCTCCCAAAGTGCTGGGATTACAGGCGTGAGCCACCACACCCAGCCAACCACATTTTTTAAATCCAGTCCACCATTGATGGCAATCTAAGTTGATTCCATGTCTTTGCTATTGTGAATAGTGCTACAGTTAACATATACATGCATATGTCTTTATGGCTAAATGATTTATATTCCTTTGGATATATAAGTAATGGGATTGCTGAGTCAAATAGTAGTTATGTTTTAAGTTTTTTGAGAAATCTCCGACTGCTTTTCACAGTGGCTGAACTAATTTACATTCCCACCAGTAGTGTATAAGCATTCCCTTTTCTTTGCTTGTTGATTTAAGTTCTTTATAGATTCTGGATATTAGACTTTTGTCAGATATACTTTGCAAATATTTTGTCCCATCCTATAGGTTGTCTGCATATCCTGTTGATAGTTTCTTTTGCTGTGCAGAAGCTCTTTAGTTTAATTAGGTCATACTTGTGAATTTTTGTTTTGTTGCAATTGCTTTTGGAGTCTTCATTATAAAGTATTTGTCAGGGCCGATGTACAGAATGGCATTTCCTAGGTTTTCTTCTAGGATTTTTACACTTTTAGGTTCTACAGTTTAGTCTTTAACCCATCTTGAGTTGATTTTTGTATATAGTGAAAAGTAGTTGTCCAGCTTCGATATTCTGATTATGGCCGTCCAGTTTTTTCAGCGCCATTTACTGAATACAGAGTCATTCCCCATTGCTTATTATTGTTGGCTTTGTCAAAGATCAGATTACTGTAAGTGTGAGGCTTTATTCCTGGGTTCTCTAACTGATTCCATTGATCTATGAGTCTGTTTTTGTACCAGTACCATGTTGTTTTAATTATGGTAGCCTTGCAGTATAGCTTGAAGTCAGGTAATGTGATGCCTCCAGCTTTGTTTTGTGTGTGTGTGTGTGTGTGTGTGTGTGTGTTTGGTTTTGTGTTTTTTGTTTGTTTGTTTTTGCTTAGGGTTGCTTTGACTATTCAGGCTTTTTTGTTGTTGCTGTTTGATATAAATTTTAGAATCATTTTTTTTCTAATTCTGTGAAAAATGTTATTGGTAGATTGCTAGTGTGAACCCAGAAAGTCTGAGACAGGTCTCCATTAATTTAGAAAGTTTATTTTGCCAAGGTTGAGGAAGCACTTGTGACAGCCTCAGGAAGTCCTGATGACATGTGCCCAAGGTGGTCAGGGCACAGCTTGGTTTTACACATTTTAGGGAGACATGAGACATCAATCTATATATGTAAGAAGTACAGTGGTTTGGTCTGGAAAGGTGGGACAACTTGAAGCAAAGGAAAGAAGACTCAAAGCAGAGAGGGAGCTCCCAGGTTACACTAGGTGATACACAAACGATTACATTCTTTTGAGTTTCTGATTAGCCTTTCCAAAGGAGGTAATTAGATATGATTCTCTCTCACTGAGCAGAGGGTTGACTTTGAATAGAATGGGAGGCAGGTTTGCCCTAAGCGGTTTCCAGCTTGAGTTTTCCTTAGTGATTTGGGGGGCTCAAGACATTTTCCTTTCACACTAGTAGTACCATTGAATCTGTAAATTGCTTTGGGCAGTATGCCCATTTAACAATACTGATTCTTCCTATCCATGAGCATGAAAAGCTGTTCCATATGTTTATGTTATCTCTGGTTTTCAGCAGTGTTTTTTAATTCTCATTGCAGAGATCTTTCACTTCCCTGGTTAGCTGTATTCCTAGGTATTTCATTCTTTCTGTGGCTATGGTAAATGGATTGCATTTTTATTTGGCTTTCAGCTTGGATGTTATTGGTGTATATAAATGCTACTAATAGTTGCACATTCATTGTGTATTCTGAAACTTTTCTGAAATCGTTTATCAGATCTAGGAGCCTTTTGGCAGAGAGTGGAGTTTTCTAGGTATATAATCATATCATCTCTGAAGAGAGATCGTTTGACTTTCCCTCTTCCTATTTGGATGACTTTTATTTCTTTCTCTTGCCTGATTTATTTCTCTTGCCTGATTGCTCTGGCTAGGACTTCCAGTACTATTTGGAATAGGAGTAATGAGAGGGGACATCCTTGTCTTGTTCTGGTTCTCAAGGGGAATAATTCCAGCTCTTGCCCATGTAGTATGATGTTGGCTGCAGGTTTGTCATACATAGCTCTCAATATTTTGAGGAATGTTTCTTCAATGTCTGGTGTGTTGAGGGTTTTTAACATGAAGGGATGTTGAATTTCATCAAAAGCCATTTCTGTCTGTTGAGATTATCACATGGTTTTTGCTTTTAGTTCTGTTTATGTAGTGAATCACATTTATTGATGTGTGGGTGATGAACCAACCTCGCATCCCAGAAATAAAGCCTACTTGATTGTGGTGGATTAAGTTTTTGATATGCTGCTGGATCCAGTTTGCTAGTATTTTGCTGAGGATTTTTGCACCCATGTTCATCAAGCATATTGGCCTAAAATTTTTTTTTTGTTGTGCCTCTGCTAGGCTTTGGTATCAGAGTGATGCTGGCCTCATAAGATGAGTTAGGGAGTGTAAGGCCTCTGAGACCAAGCTAAGCCATCATATCCCCTGTGACCTGCACATATACATCCAGATGGCCTGAAGCAACTGAAGAACTAC
Organism: Homo sapiens; assembly: GCF_000001405.40. NCBI lineage: Eukaryota > Metazoa > Chordata > Mammalia > Primates > Hominidae > Homo > Homo sapiens. The sequence goes on along the minus strand of NT_167245.2, from coordinate 518,327 downwards.
AAAAGAAGTGAAAATAGCCAGTTGCTGCCTTAACTTATGACATTCCACCATTGTGATTTGTTCCTGCCCCACCCTAACTGATCAATTGACCCTGTGACATTCCTTTTCCCGGACAATGAATCTCAGGAGCTCCCCATTGAGCACCTTGCGACTGCTGCACCTGCATGCAAGAGAACAACCCCCTTTAACTATAATTTTCCACTACCTACCCAAATCCTATAAAACTGCCCCACCCCTATCTCCCTTTGCTGACTTCTGTTTTGGACTCATTCTGCCTATGCCCAGGTGATTAAGAAGCTTTATTGCTCACACAAAGCCTGTCTGGTGGTCTCTTCACGTGGACACACATAACATTTGGTGCCGAAGACCTGGGACAGGGGGACTGCTCCAGGAGACCAGCCCCCTGTCCTCACCCTCACTCCGTGAGGAAATCCACCTACAACCTCAGGTCCTCAGACCAGCCCAAGGAACATCTCACCAATTTCAAATCAGGTAAGCAGTCTCTTCACTCTTCTCCAGCTTCTCTCGCTACCCTTCAATCTCCCTGTTCTTCCAATTCCAGTTCTTTTTCCTCTCTAGTGGAAACAAAGGAGACACATTTTATCCGTGAACTCAAAAACTCCGACGTCGGTCACGGATATGGGAAGATGGTCTTCCCTCGGTGTCTGATCATAGCGGGGATGCCTGCCTTGATCATTCATCTACATTCCATTGGTGTCTGATCACCACAGGGATGCCTGCCTTGATCATTCACCCACATTCCATTGGTGTCTGATCACTGCTGGGACGCCAGCCTTGATCATTCAATCATTCACCCACATTCCACTGGTGTCTGATCACCGTGAGGATGCCTGCCTTGGTCATTCACCCACATTCCCTTGGTGACAAGTCAGTTGTGGGGACACCTGCTTTGGCTGCTCACCCACATTACAGCCCACGGCTACTCACCCCCACCTTCTCTGTGTCTCTACTTTTCTCTTTAAACTCACCTCCTTCACTATGGGCAACCTTCTGCCCTCCATTCCCCTTTCTTCTCCCTTAGCCTGTGTTCTTAAAAACCTAAAACCCCTTCGACTAACACCTGACCTAAAACCTAAACATCTTATTTTCTTCTGTAATACCACTTGGCCCCAATACACACTCAACAATAGTTTCAAGTGGCCAGAGAATGGCACTTTTGATTTGTCTATCCTACAAGATCTAGATAATTTTTGTTGTAAAATGGGCAAATGGTCTGAGGTGCCTGATGTCCAGGCATTCTTTACACATCGGTCCCTCCCTAGTCTCTGCTCCCATTGCAACTCGTGCCAAATATTTCTTCTTTCTCTCCTATGTGTTCCTTCAGTCTCCACCCCAAGCTCTGAGTCCTTTGAATCCTCTTTTTCTACAGATCCATCTGACCTTGCCCCTCCTCCCCAGGCTGCTCCTCACCAGGCCAAGCCAGGTCCCAATTCTTCCTCAACCTCCACTCTCCCACCCTATAATGCTTCTATCACCTCACCTCTTCACACCCAGTCTGGCTTACAGTTTCTTTCTGTAAGTAGCTCTCCCCGACCTGCCCAACAATTTCATTTTAGAGAGGTGGCCGGAGCTGAAGGCATAGTCAAGATTAATGCTCCTTTTTTCTTTATCTGACCTCTCCCAAATTGGTTAGCGTTTAGGCTCTTTTTCATCAAATATAAAAACCCAGCCCAGTCCGTGGCTGGTTTGGCAACAACCCTTAGATGCTTTACCGCCCTAGACCCAGAGGGACCAGAAGGCCATCTTATTCTCAATATGTATTTTATTACCCAATCCACTCCCAACATTAGAAAAAGCTCCAAAAATTAGATTCCGCCCTCAAACCCCACAACAGGACTTAATTAACCTTGCCTTCAAGGTGTACAATAATAGAGAAGAGGCAGCCAAGCGGCAATGTATTTCTGGATTGCAATTACTTGCCTCCGCTCTGAGAGAAACCCCAGCCACATCTCCAGCACACAAGAACTTCAAAACGCCTAAACCACAGTGGCCAGGCATTCCTCCAGGACCTCCTCCCCCAGGATCTTGCTTCAAGTGCCGGAAATCTGGCCACTGGGCCAAGGAATGCCCGCAGCCCAGGATTCCTCCTAAGCCGTGTCCTATCTGTGCAGGTCCCCACTCGAAATCGGACTGTCCAGCTTGCCCAAAAGCCACTCCCAGAGCCCCTGGAACTCTGCCCCAAGGCTCTCTGACTGACTCCTTCCCAGATCTTCTTGGCTTAGTGGCTGAAGACTGATGCTGCCTGATTGCCTCAGAAGCCTCCTGGACCATCACAGACACTTCAGGTAACTTACAGTGGAGGTAAGTCCCTTCTTAATTGATACGGAGGCTACCCACTCCACATTACCTTCTTTACAAAGGCCTGTTTCCCTTGCCTCCATAACTGTTGTGGGTATTGATGGTCAGGCTTCTAAACCTCTTAAAACTCCCCCACTCTGGTGCCAACTTGGACAACATTCTTTTATACACTCCTTTTTAGTTATCCCCACCTGCCCAGCTCCCTTATTAGGTCAAGACATTTTAACTAAACTATCTGCTTCTCTGACTATTCCTGGGCTACAGCCACACCTCATTGCCACCCTTTTCCCCAGTTCAAAGTCTCCTTCACATCCTCCCCTTATGTCTCCCTACCTTAATCCACACGTATGGGATACCTCTACTCCTACTTTGGCAACCGATCATGCACCCCTTATCATCCCATTAAAACCTAATCACCCTTACCCTGCTCAACGCCAATATCCCATCCCACAGCAGGCTTTAAAAGGGTTAAAGCCTGTTATAACTCACCTGTTACAACATGGCCTCTTAAAGCCTACAAATTCTCCTTACAACTCCCCTATCCTACCCCTCCAGAAACTGGACAAGTCTTACAGGTTGGTTCAGGATCTTCACCTTGTTAATCAAATTGTCCTTCCCATCCATCCTATAGTGCCAAACCTGTACACCCTCCTATCTTCAATAACCCTTTCCACAACTCACTATTCTGTTATCGACCTCAAAGATGCTTTCTTTACTATCCCCTTGCATCCCTCCTCCCAGCCTCTTTTTGCCTTTACTTGGACTGACCCTGACACCCACTAATCCCAACAACTCACCTGGACTGTTCTGCCCCAAGGCTTCAGGGACAGCCCACACTACTTTGGCCAGGCCCCTTCTCATGATCTGCTTTCTTCTTCCCCATCTGCCTCTCACCTTATTCAATATTTTGATGATCTCCTTTGCAGCCCCTCTTACTAATCTTCCCAGCAGGACACTATCCTGCTTCTTCAACATCTCTACTGAAAGGGGTACCAAGTATCCCCCTCCAAGGCACAAATTTCTTCTCCTAGTGTTACCTATCTCAGTATAATCCTCCATCAACATACATGTGCCCTTCCTGCAGACCGTATTCAGTTAATCTCCCAGACCCCAATCCCCACCACCAAACAACTCCTTTCCTTCTTAGGCATTGTTGGATATTTCCAACTCTGGATACCAGGCTTTGCTATTCTAACCAAAACCACTTTACAAGCTCACAAAGGATAACTTAACTAATCCCATAGATCCTAAGTCTTTTCCCCATTCTTCCTTTCACTTTCTCAAAAAGGTCCTGGAGACAGCTCCTACACTTGCACTCCCCAACTCGTCCCATCCCTTTTCCTTACACACAGCGGAAATACAAGTCTGTGCTGCCGGAGTCCTCACACAGGAGCCAGGCTCACAACCTGTTGCCTTTCTATCAAAGAAACTTGACCTCACAGTTCTGGGCTGGCTCTGCATGGGGCGGCAGGCACTGCTTTAATACTTCTAGAGGCCTTCAAAATCACAGGCTATGCTCCACTTACCCTTTACAGTTCTCACAACCTTCAAGCATTAATATCCTCCCCATACCTTTCACATTTATTGTCTGCCCCTCAACTCCTCCAGCTCTATTCACTCTTTGTTAAAACTCCAACAGTAACTATTATCCATAGGCCTGATTTCAACCCACTTTCTCACTTAGCACCCAGCACAAGTCCTGAACCACCTGACTGTATTTCCCTAATAAACATAGCATCCTCCCCCGTCCTCATATTCCTATTCTGCCAATTCCAAACACAGACCACACTTGGTTTATTGATGGCAGTTCTTCTAAACCCAATCAATTTTCACCAGCTAAAGCTAGATATGTTGTCGTGTCCCACACCGCTACTATTGAAGCTGCTGCACTTCCCTCCACCACTTCCGAATAAGCTGAACTGATTGCTTTAACTACCGCATTCTCTCACTAAAGGAATGCACATTGACATTTATACTGACTCCAGATATGCTTTCTATATCCTCCATAACCATGCTGCCTTCTGGGCTGAAAGAGGCTTCCTTACCACACAAGGCTCTTCCATTATCAATGCCTCCCTAACAAAGGCCCTCCTTAAGGTTGCTTTCCTGCCAGCCAAGGCTGGAGTCATTCATTATAAAGGGCACCAGAAACCTACTGATCTTATTGCAAAAGGAAATGCCTATGCCAACAGGACGGCAAAAGAAATAGCTGATGCCTCCACATCCACTAATATTCCAGCCCTCACTCCAGAGGTCCAGTATTTCTCCTTCTCCTCCAACACTCCCACCTACTTTTCTGAAAACCTGCTCTACCAGTCTTTTCCAACTCAAGGCAAGTGGTTCTTATAAATCATGGAAAATTCATTCTTCCTGCCTCACAAGCTCAGTCCATTCTTTCTTCCCTTCATGACCACTTCCATGTGGGATACAAGCCTGTGGCTTGATTCCTGCAGCTCCTCATCTCCTTCTCTTCATGGAAGTCCATCCTTAAGACCATAACCTCTCAATCCTCTGTCTGCCATGCCACCAGCCCCCAAGGCTTTCTCAGGCCTCCTCCTTTTCCTGAGCATCAGGCTTGTGGATTTACTTCAACTCATGATTGGCAGTTAGACTTTACTCATATGCCCCATGTCCGTAAATTTAAGTATCTCCTGGTTTGGATCGACACCTTCACCGGATGGCTCGAGGACTTTCCCACTAGTTCCAAAAAGCCTATTGCAGTCATTTCTTCCCTTCTAACAGATATAATTCCCTGATTTGGCCTCCCTACTTCTATTCAATCTGACAATGGTCCAGCTTTTATTAGTCAAATCACCCAAGCTGTCTCTCAGGTTCTTGGTATTCAGTGGAAACTTCATACCCCTTACTGTCCTCAATCTTCAGGAAAGGTAAAATGGACTAATGCTCTTTAAAAAACACACCTCACCAAGCTCAGCCTCTAACTTAAAAAGGACTGGACAGTACTTCTACCACTTGCCTTTCTCAGAATTAGAGCCTGCCCTCGAGATGCTACAGGGTACAGTCCATTTGAACTTTTATATAGACACACTTTCTTGCTCAGCCCCAATCTTATTCCAGACACCAGCCCTCTGGGCAACTATCTTCCAGTCCTCCAGCAGGCTAGACAGGAAATTCGCCAGGCTGCTAATCTTCTCTTGCCTACTCCAGATTCCCAGCCATATGAAGACACCCTAGCTGGATGATCGGTTCTTGTTAAGAGTCTGACCCCTGAAACTCTACAGCCTCGATGGAACGGACCCTACCTAGTCATCTATAGCACCCCAACTTCCGTCCATCTACAGGAATCTCCCCATTGAGTTCACCATTACAGAATAAAGCTGTGTCCATTGGACAGCCAGCCAGATCTCTCCTCTTCCTCCTGGAAGTTGCGAGTACTCTCCCCTACTTCCCTTAAAACTCATTCGCATTTCTAAAGAACAGTAATAACCCTTATAAGCCTAACACATCCTTTCATTTTTATTAGGTCTGTTCTTCCTTGCCTTACTCTCTACAACAGGGTTTTATGCAGTCACACCCGCCCCCACTTCTTGGACTGCAACTCACAAGCTTTTTCATCCCTGCTATTTTCCAATTCACCATTCTCACCTACTCATAAATGCCCTGCTCTTGTTTACACTGCCAGTTTCCACTTTTCCTCCAAACCATCACAGCTGATATCTCATGGTGCTATCCCCAAACTGCCACTCTCGACTCCCTCTTGGAGTGGATAGATGATCTTTGCTGGCAGGGCACACTCCAATATTTTCTGCCTCCACTATTGCTCTTGGAACTGGAATAGCAGGCAATTCAACCTCTGCCACAACCTTCTGTAGCCTCTCTAATGACTTCTCTGCTAGCATTGCAGACATATCACAATCTTTATCAGTCCTTCAGGCGCAGGTTGACTCTTCAGTTGCGGTTGTCCTCCAAAACCATGAGGCCTTGACTTACTCACTGCTGAAAAAGGGAGACTCTATATTTTTAAATGAAGAGTATTGTTTTTACCTAAATCAATCTGGCCTGGTATACGACAACCTAAAAAAACTCATGGATAGAGCCCAAAAACTCACCAACCAAGCAAATAATTACACTGAACCCCCTTGGGCACTCACTCTCTAATTGGATGTCCTGGGTCCTCCAAATTCTTAGCCCTTTAATACCTGTTTTTCTCCTTCTCTTATTCAGACCTAGTGTCTTCCATTTAGTTTCTCAGTTCATACAAAACTGCATCCAGGCCATCACCAATCATTCTATACAACAAATGCTCCTTCCAACAACCCCACGATATCACCCCTTACCACAAAATGTTTCTTCAATTTAATCTCTCCCACTCTAGGTTCCCATGCCACCCCTAATCCTGCCTGAAGCAGCCCTGAGAAACATTGCCCATTATCTCTCCATACCACCCCCCCCAAAATTTTTGCTGCCCCCAACACATCACCACTATTTTGTTTTGTTTTTCTTATTAATATAAGAAGACAGTAATGTCAGGCCTCTGAGCCCAAGCTAAGCCATCATATCCCCTGTGACCTGCACATATACATCCAGATGGCCTGAAGCAACTGAAGAACCATAAAAGAAGTGAAAATAGCCAGTTCCTGCCTTAATTGATGACATTCCACCACTGTGATTTGTTCCAGTCCCACCCTAACTGAGCATTGACCTTGTGACACTCCTTCTCCTGGACAGTGAATCTCAGGAGCTCCCCACTGAGCACCTTGTGACCCCTGCCCCTGCCTGCAAGAGAACAACCCCCTTTAACAGTAATTTTCCACTACCTACACAAATCCTAGAAAACTGCCCCACCCCATCTCCCTTTGCTGACTCCTTTTTCGGATTCAGTCTGCCTGCACCCAGGTGATTAAAAGCTTTATTGCTCACACAAAGCCTGTTTGGTGGTCTCTTCACATGGACATGTATAACATGGAGGAGTAACTTCTCCTCTATTTTTTGGAATAGTTTCAGTAGAATTGGTACCAGCACTTCTTTATATGTCTAGTGGAATTCAGCTGTGAATTTGCCTGGTACAGGGCTTTTTCTGATTTGTAAGTTTTTAAATTACTGATTCAATTTCAGAACTCATTATTGGTCTGTTCAGGGTTTTACTGTCTTCTTGGTTGAATCTTGAAAGGTAGTGTGTTTCTAGGAATTCAGCCATTTCTTTTAGGTTTTCTAGTTTTTGTGCATAGAGGTGCTCGAAATAGTCTCTGATGGATTTTTGGGGTCAGTGATATTTCTTTAAAATGTACTGCTACCATTGATTGTCATAACCAGTTTGTAGGATTCATGTTTTCCATTTATTCTTATCTCAAAAGTAGGGTAAACTGATCTCTGAATACACAGATGATAAAAGAGTAATCATAAAACTAAACTATTAATGTGTCCAATAATAATTATGGTAACAGAGATAACGTAACTTTGAAAGCAACTCATGTTCAAGTCAGAAGTGAAAATAAATACATTTTTACATGAACCAGTAAAACATTAAACATAATATTTAGTGGGGGAAAAAAGAAATATAGCATTTATTTGTGTCGGGAACATGCTAAGTCTTTCTTCTAGCTATTTTGAAATAAACAATAAATTATTGTTATCATAGAGATTTATCAAAATATCACAAGCACCTCAGAAACATGTACAATAGTTGTGTATCAATTTCTTAATTAACAATAAAAACTGAAAAATATTTAATTGACAAAGAAATTACTAAAAAGCATTATTCACATCATAATCACTTTTTCAATTAACTATTTTCTCATTCAGCTACATATTATATTAACAGTACAGCTGTGATCATGTGAGCACATGAGAAATGTGTATCATTTTTATTAAGAATTAACAAATTCGAGACTTAAACATTCGTGACTGCCAGCTCTGAGGAGAGCAGTGGATCACCCAGCACAGTGCCCGAGCTCTGCTAAGGAACAGACTGCCTCCTCAAGTGGGTCGCTGACCCCCATGCCTCCTGACTGAAAGACACCTCCCAGCAGGGATCGACAGACACCTCATACAGGAGAGCTCCAGCTGGCATCCAGCAGGTGCCCCTCCTAAACAAAGCTTCCAGAGGAAGGAACAGGCAGCAATCTGTGCTGTCCGGCAACCTCTGCTGGTGATACCCAGGTGAACAGGGTCTGGAGTGGACCTCCAGCAAACTCCAGGAGACCTGCAGCAGAGAGGCCTGATGGTTAGAAGAAATACTAACAAACAGAAAGGAATAGTATCAACATCAAGAGAAAAATGTCTACTCAGGATCCCATCTGAAGGTCACCAACATCAAAAGCCAAAGGTATATAAATCCATGAAGATGAGAAAAAAAAAACAGCACAAAAAGGCTGAAAATACCAAAAATCAGAGCACCTCTTCTACTCCAAAGATCACAAATCCTCACCAGCAAGGGAACAAAACTGGATCGAGAATGAATTTGACAAATTGACAGAAGTAGGCTTCAGAAGGTGGGTAATAACAAACTCCTCTGAGCTAAAGGAGCATGTTCTAACCCAATGCAAGGAAGCTAAAAACCTTGAAAAATGTTTAGAGGAATTGCTAACTAGAATACCAATTTAGAGAAGAATATAAATAACCTGATGGAGCTGAAAAACACACCACGAGAACTTCGTAAAGAATACACAAGTATCAATAGCTGAATCAATCAAGTGGAAGAAAGTATATAAGAGATGGAAGATCAAATTAATGAAATAAAGCATGAAGCCAAGATTAGAGAAAAGAGAATGAAAAGGAATGAACAAAGCATCCAAGAAATATGGGACTATGTGAAAAGACCAAACCTACATTTGATTGGTATACCTGAAAGTGACTAGAAGAATGGAACCAAGTTGGAAAACACTCTTCAGGATATTATCCAGGAGACCTTCCCCAGCCTAGCAAGACAGGCCAACATTCAAATTCAGGAGATAGAGAGAACACCACAAAGATACTCCTCAAGAAGAGCAACCCAAAAACATGTAATTGTCAGATTCACCAAGGTTGAAATGAAGGAAAAAATATTAAGGGCAGCCAGAGAGAAAGGTCAGAATACCAACAAAAAGAAGCCTCTCAGACTAACAGCAGATCTCTCTGCAGAAACCCTACAAGCCAGAAGAAAGTGGGGGCCAATATTCAACATTCTAAAAGAAAAGAATTCTCAACCCAGAATTCTATACCCAGCCAAACTAAGCTTCATAAGCAAAGGAGAAATAAAACTCTTTACAGACAGCAAATAATGAGAGATTTTGTCACCCCCAGGCCTACCTTACAAGAGCTTCTAAAGGAAGCAATAAATGGGGAAAGGAAAAGCCGGTACCAGCCACTGCAAAAACATACCATATTGTAAAGATGATCGACATTATGAAAAAAGTGCATTAACTAATGGGCAAAATAACCAGTTAGCATCATAATGACAGGATAAAATTCACACATAACAATACTAACCTTAAATGTAAATGAGCTAAATGCCCCAATTAAGAGACACAGACTGGCCAACTGGAAAAAGAGTCAAGACCCATCAGTGTGCTGTATTCAGGAGACCCATCTCATGTGCAAAGACACACATAGGCTCAAAGTAAAGGAATGGAGGAACATCTACCAAGCAAATGCAAAGCAAAAGACTTCAAGGGTTGCAATCCCAGTCTCTGATAAAACAGACTTTAAACCAACAAAGATCAAAGAAGACAAAGAAGGGCAATACATAATGGTAAAGGGATCAATGCAACTATCCTAAATATATATGCACCCAATACAAGAATACCCAAATTCATAAAGCAAGTTCTTAGAGACCTACAAAGAGACTTAGACTCCCATACAATAATAGTGGGAGACTTTAACACCCCACTGTTAATATTAGACAGATCAATTAGACAGAAGATTAACAAGAATATTAAGGACTTGAACTCAGCTCTGGACCAAGTGGACCTAATAGACATCTATAGAACTCTCCACCCCAAATCAACAGAACATACATTATTCTCAGCACCACATAGCACTTATTCTAAAATTGACCACATAATTGGAAGTAAAACTCTCCTCAGAAAATGCAAAAGAATGGGAATCATAACAAACAGTCTCTCAGACCACAGTTTAATCAAATTCGAACTCAGGATTAAGAAACTCACTCAAAACTGTAAAACTGTATGGAAACTGAACAATGTGCTCCTGAATGACTACTGGGTAAATAACAAAATTATGGCAGAAATAAATAGATTCTTTGAAACCAATGAGAACAAAGACACAACATACCAGAATCTCTGGGACACAGCTAAAGCAGTGTTTACAGGGAAATTTATAGCACTACATGCCCACAGGAGGAAGGGGGAGAGATCTAAAATCAACGCCCTACCATCACAATTAAAAGAACCAGAGAAGCAAGAGTAAACAAAGTCAAAAGCTAGCAGAAGATAAGAAATAACTAAGAACAGAGCAGAACTGAAGGAGATAGAGACATGAAAAATCCTTCAAAAATCAATGAATCCAGGAGTCGGTTTCTTGAAAAGATTAACAAAATAGATAAACTACTAGCCAGACTAATAAAGAAGAAAAGAGAGAAGAATCAAATAGACAGAATAAAAAATGATAAAGGAGATATTACCACTGATCCCACAGAAATACAAATTACCACCAGAGAATACTGTAAACACCTCTATGCAAATAAATTAGAAAATCTAGAAGAAAGGGATAAATTCCTGGACACATACATCCTCCCAAGACTAAACTAAGAAGAAATCCAGTTCCTGAATAGACCAATAACAAGTTCTGAAATTGAGGCAGTAATTAATAGCCTACCAACAAAAAAAGCCTAGGACCAGATGGATAAACAGCCGAATTGTACCAGAGGCACAAAGAAGAGCTGCTATCATTCCTTCTGAAACTATTCTAAACAATAGAAAAAGAGGGACTCTTCCCTAACTCATTTTATGAGGCCAGCATCATTCTGATACCAAAGCCTGGCAGAGACACAATGAAAAAAGAAAATTTCAGGCCAATATCCATTATGAACATTGATGCAAAAATCCTCAATAAAATACTGGCAAACCAAATCAAGCAGTACATCAAAAAGCTTATTCACCATGATCAAGTCAGCTTCATCCCTGAGATGCAAGGGTGGTTCAACATACACAAATCAATAAACATAATCCATCACATAAACAGAACCAATGATAAAAACCCCATGATTATTTCAATAGCTGCAGAAAAGGCTTTTGATAAAATTCAACAACCCTTGATTCTAAAAACACTCAATAAACTAGGTATTGATGGAACATATCTAAAAATAGTAAGAGGTATTTATGACAAACCCACAGCTAATATCATACCGAATGGGCAAAAGCTGGAAGCATTCCCTTTGAAAACCAGCACGAGACAAGGATGCCCTCTCTCACAACTCCTATTCAACACAGTATTGGAAGTTCTGGCCAGGGCAATCAGGCAAGAGAAAGAAATAAAGCATATTCAATTAGGAGGAGAGGAAGTCAAATTGTATCTGTTTGCAGATAACATGATTGTATATTTAGGAAACCCCATCACCTCAGCCCAAAATCTCCTTAAGCTGATAAGCAACTTCAGCAAAGTCTTAGGATACATAATCAATGTGCAAAAATCACAGGCATTTCTATACACCAATAATAGACAAACAGAAAGCCAAATCATGAATGAGCTCCCATTCACAATTGCTACAAAGAGAATAAAATACCTAGGAATACAACTTACAAGGGATGTGAAGGACCTCTTCAAGGACAACTACAAACCACTTCTCAAGGAAATAACAGAGGACATAAACAAATGGAAAATCATTCCATGATCATGGATAGAAAGAATCAATATAGTGAAAAAGGCCATACTGCCCAAAGTAATTTATAGATTCAATGCTATCCCCATCAAGCTACCACTGACTTTCTTCACAGAATTAGAAAAAACTACTTTAAATTTCATATGGAACCAAAAAAGAGCCCATCCCGTATTGCCAAGACAATCCTAAGCAAAAAGAACAAAGCTAGAGGCATCACACTACCTGACTTCAAACTATACTAAAAGGGTACAGTAACCAAAACAGCATGGTACTGGTACCAAAACAGATATATAGACCAATGGAACAAAATAGAGGCCTCAGAAATAATGCCACATGTCTACTACCATCTGATCTTTGACAAACCTGACAAAAAACAAGCAATGGGGAAAGGATTCCCTATTTAATAAATGGTATTGAAAAAACTGGCTGGCCATATGCAAAAAGCTGAAACTGGACCCCTTCTTTACACCTTATACAAAAACTAACTCAAGATGAATTAAAGACTTAAATATAAGACCTAAAAACATAAAAACCCTAGAAGAAAACCTAGGCAATACCATTCAGGATGGGCAAAGACTTCATGACTAAAACACCAAAGCAATGGCAACAAAAGCCAAAATAGACAAATCAGATCTAATTAAAGTAAAGAACTTCTGCACAGCAAAAGAAACTAACAACAGAGTGAAAAGGTAACCTACAGAATGGGAGACAATTTTTGCAATCTATCCATCTGACAAAGGGCCAATATCCAGAATCTACAAGGAACTTAAACAAATTTACAAGAAGAAAACAAACAACCCCATCAAAAAGTGGGTGAAGCAAATGAATCAACACTTCTCCAAAGAAGACATATATGTGGCCAACAAACATGAAAAAAAGCTCATCATCACTGGTCATTAGAGAAATGCAAATCAAAACCACAGTGAGGTACCACCTCATGCCAGTTAGAATGGCGATCATTAAAAAGTTAGGAAACTACAGATACTGGAGAGGATATGGAGAAATAGGAATGCTTTTATACTGTTCTTGGGAGTGAAAATTAGTTCAACCATTGTAGAAGACAGTGCAGCAATTCCTCAAGGATCTAGAACCAGCAATACCATTTGACCCAGCATTCCCATTACTGGGTATATACCCAAAGGATTATAAATCATTCTAATATAAAGACACAAGCACACGTATGTTTATTGCAGCACTGTTTACAATAGCAAAGACTTGGAACCAACCCAAATGCCCATCAATGATAGTCTGGATAAAGAAAATGTGGCACATATAACCCATGGAATATTATGCAGCCATAAAAAAAAGGATGAGTTCATGTCCTTTGCAGGGACATGGATGAAGCTGGAAATCATCGTTCACAGCAAACTAACACAGGAACAGAAAACCAAACACTGCATGTCCTCACTCATAACTGGGAGTTGAAAAATAAAAACATATGGACACAGGGAGGGGAGCATCACACACTGTGGTCTTTTAGGGGGTGGGGGGCCAGGGGAGGGATAGCATTAGGAGAAATACCTAATGTAGATGACAGGTTGATGGGTGCATCAATCACCATGGCACGTGTATACCTATGTAACAAACCTCCACGTCTACACATGTATCTCAGAACTTAAAATATATAATATATAATATATATGTATAAAGTATATATATAAAGTATATATAAAGTATATATACATATATAAAGTATATATAAAGTATATACATATATAAAGTATATATATATAAAGTGTGTATATACACACACACACACATATATATAGGAATTGCTCCTAACCAGAGTAATCAGGCAAGAGAAAGAAAAAAATGGCATGTAAATAGGAAGAAAGAAAGGCAAACTATCTGTTTGCAGACCACATGATACTATATCTAGAAAACCCCATTGCCTCAGCATAAAAGCTCCTTCAGCTGATACACAACTTCAGCAAAGTTTCAGAATACAAATCCATATACAAAAATCACTAGCATTACTATACACCAACAGCCAAGCCAAGAGCCAAATTAGAAAGGCAATCCTTTTCTAATTTGGGAATTACAATTGCCACAGAAAGGATAGAATACTTAGGGGTACAGCTAACCAGGTAGGTGAAAGATCTCTACAATGAGAATTACAAAGAAATCAGATCCGTGCTTAAAGAAATCAGAGAAGACACAAACAAATGGAATAACATCCCATGCTCGTGGATAGGAAGAATCAATATTATTAAAATGGCCATACTGCCCAAAGCAATTTACATATTCAATGATATTCCTATCAAAATACCAACAACATTCTTTGCAGAACTAGGAAAATCTATTTTAAATTTCATATGGAACAAAAACAAAGCCCGAATAGCAAAGGCAATCCAAAGCAAAAAGAACAAAGCTAGAGGCATCACCCAACTTTAAACTACACTACAGAACTATGGTAACCAAACAGCATTGTACTGGTACAAAAACAGGTACATAGACCAATGGAACAGAATAGAGAGCCCAGAAATAAGAATGCACACCTATGACCAGTTGATCTTCAACAAAACTGACAAAAACAAAGGGGAAAAGACTCCCTATTCCATCAAACATGCTGGGATAACTAGCTAATATCCAGCTTCTATGAGGAACTTAAACAAATTTATGAGAGAAAAACAAACAACCCCATTAAAAAGTGGGCAAAGGACATGAACAGACACTTTTCCAAAGAACACATACATGTGGCCAGTAAGCATATGAAAAAAAAAAAAAGCTCAATATCACTGGTCATCAGAGAAATGCAAATCAAATCCAGAATGAGATACCATCTCACACCAGTCAGAATGGCTATTATTAAAACGTAAAAAAATAACAGATGCTGGCAAGGTTGCAGAGAAAAGGGAACACTTATATGCTGTTGATGGGAGTATAAATTGGTTAAGCCAATGTGGAAAACAGTATGGCTATTCCTCAAAGAGCTAAAAGCAAAACTACCATTCAACCCAGCAATCCCATTACTGGGTATACACCCAGAAGAATAGAAATCATTTTACTGTAAAGACACATGTGGCCAGGTGCGGCAGCTCTCAGCTATAATCCAAGCACTTTGAGACCAGCGTGGGCAACATGGCCAAACCGCATTTCTACCAAAAATACAAAAATTAGCCGGGTGTGGTGGTGCATGCCTGTGGTCCCAGCTACCAGGGAAGCTGAGATGGGAGGATCACCCGAGACTGGGGAGGTCAAGACTGCAGTGAGCCATGATTGTGCCACTGCGCCGCAGCCTGGGCGAGAGAGTGACATCCTGTCTCAAAAAAAAAAAAAAAAGGATACAGCACATGTGCAGGTAAATGTTCATCACAGCACTATCCAGAAAAGCAAGACATGGAATCAACCTAAATGCCTACCAATGACAAATTAGATTTTAAAAATGTGGTATATACAGCTATAAAAAAAAGATCATGTATTTTGTGGGAGCATGGATGGAGCTAGAGGCCATTATCCTTAGCTAACTAATGCAGGAACAAATAAATAAATACCACATGTTCTCACTTATAAGTGGGAGCTAAATTATGAGAACTCATAAACACAAAGAAGGAAAAAACAGAAACAGATTTTCTTGAGGGTGGAAGGTGGGAGAAGGGGTAGGAGGGGAAAAAGATAACTATTGGATACTGAGCATAATACATGGGTGATGAAATAATCTGTACAACAAACCCCTGTGACACAGTTTCCCTTCTGTAACAAACCTTCACACGTACCCCTGAACCTAAAATAAAGTTTTTATTAGAAAAAAAAAAGTCGAAGTCAGCAGAAATGCTTGGGTTTAAGATAGGGGGAGTTGTGGAAGCCAAGGTTCTTGTTATGTAAATAAAGTCTTCAGGTGGCAGGCTTCAGAAAAAATTAAGTAGTAAATGTCTCTTATGAGATCTTAAAAAGTGTCAGACTATTAGTTAAATCTCTCCTGGATCTGGAAAAGACCTGGAAAGGGTAGCGAATTCTATACAGAATGTAGATTTTCCCCACAAGAAACAATAATATAGGTGTTATAAACAAATTATTTAGGCAGATAGTGAGGGTAAGGAAATCCTTCCTGGGTAAGGTTTTCCTTTTAATAAAAAGCAGCCCCCAAATCATTTTTTCTAACAAAGAGCAGCCTGTATAGAATCTAGCTGCAGACATAGACAAGCAAACAGGAAGTTTGCATTGATCAATGCTGGCAGTTGTGCTAATAGAAAAAGGCTACCTGGGATTAAGCATGATCAAAATGGTGGCTCCATCTTCCCTTCTCTTTGTCAGCCACGTGTAGAATAAGGAGCAGACAAGATGGTGCTGGCCATAAGATTAAGGTGGGTCAACCAGACTTCCCTGCGGGCTATGTAAATGTCACACCTGGTAGAACCAATCTGTGACCCTGTGTAAATCAGACACCGGCTCCTCCTCAAGCTTGCCTATAAAATCTGCTGTGGTCTGCCGCAAGCCAGTTGTTTCCCTTTCAAAAACTTCTTTCTCACGAGGGAGAGAGAGAGAGAGAGCTGCTTGCCTCTCTCCTTTCTTCTGCCTGTTAAACTCTCTGCTCCTTAACACACCCACATGTGTCCGTGTCCTTAATCTTCTTAGTGCAAGACGATGAACCCTGGGTATTTACCCCAGACAACGATGCCACTTCAACAGCTTTTCAAAGGCATTCCAAAAGGTGTCAAAGAAATCTATTTTGGGGTAAAATACTTTGATTTCTTTCAGGACTGGCTATCTATCATGTGATGCTATACTAGAGTCAGGTTGCAATTTGGTATGTTATTGCTATAAGGAATCTGTTTTGTCAGTCTTAATTAAGATCTCTGTTTTAAAGTTAATAATGCTGGTAAGTTATGCCTGAATTCCAAAGGGAGGAGAGTATGTCCCTGCAAAGCTGCTTCTGGTGGGGGAAATTTACATTCTGTAGCGAATCGCCTTTGCTTTCCAGGTCTTTTTCTGATCCTGAAGAGTTTAGTTGAGAGTCCAGTACCTTTTAAAGGTCTGAATACAAAATATTTCCCATCTATTGCTTGTAAGGGTGACCACTTATGAGACTTCATCTACATAATAAGAACCTTGTTCTCTACAATCCCTTATTTTAATCCAGACACTCCTTTCTATTGATTCTAGGCATTTAAATAGTAACAAGTTTTTCAACCAATTGCCAATAAGAAAATCTTTGAATTTACCTTTGATGTGGAAGGCCCCACTTTGAGTTGTTCCACCTTTCATGACTGAACCAACACAGACCCCACATGTATTGACTGATTTTTTACATGCTCCTAAAATGTAAATCAAGTTGTAATTCAATCACCTTGGGCACTTGTTCTCAGGATGTCTTGAGACTGCGCCTCAGGCCGTCAATTACTCACATTTGGCTCAGAATAAAACTCTTTAAATATTTCATGGAGTTTGACTCTTTTTTGTTGACAATTTTTTCTTCAAGAGTGTCTCAGAATTAATGATACTTGATATTCTATATACAACTTGGTATTCTATATACATTTTAGAATAATCTTAGAAAATTTTACAAATAGTCTGAATTTTGATTGAGTTAGCACTGAATATAGAGATCAAAGATATAATTAATATCTATACAATTTTGAATCATCTATGAATAGTTGTAATCACTTTGAATTTTCTACATACATAATCATATATATAATAATGAAATTTTATTTCTTCTACTGCAATCTTGCTTGTTCCTTGTCTTATCCTATTATACTGGCTAAAGTCTCTACAACAAAGTAGTTTGAATGGAAATGGAAATAGAAGGTGTCCTTGTCTTTTCCTCAATTTCAAAGAGAAAATTTTCAACATATTCATAATGCTTGCTGAAAGGGTTTTCGGATCCTGTTTAACAGATTAGGATCTATCATTCTTTTCATAGCTTACTAAGTCATTTTTATTATTTTTATATATTTTGAGACTCATCAAATACTTGATTTTTTATCTGATGATATGATTATAAAATGTTGTTTCTTTATTGTGTTATTTTGCTAACACAATGAAAAAATGAATTTCATTTTTTTCTGGAATAAATTTACTTTCAGCAGTGTGTAGAATATTTTAAATAATTGAATTAATTGGTAATATTTTCAAATCTATGTTAATTCATGGGACTATCATGCAATTTTAAAATTTTGTTTTGTTGCCAAAGTTATACTTGACTAAAATAGTATTTGAAACTTGCCTTCTATTTTTTAAACCTCTGGCATATATAAAAATTTCCTACAAATGAATTTGGAAAAAGTCAAGGACTTGAATGGATACTACACAAAAGATTTCTCAATGACTATAAATATAAGAGAAACTGGTCAACTTCATTAGTTAGTAGGTGAGTACAAATTAAAATCATAATGATATATTCATGATATATCACCAGAATGGCTAAAATTAAGAGGACAGAAAACACTGTTAGTATAGATTTGGAGCAACTGTAATTCTCACCATACTGTGGAGTTTAAGTTTGTGCAACCAACTTCCAGAATTGGTGGTATCTACCAAAGCTGAATATATGCATACCTCAAACCTAAGCAATTTCTCCACAGTATCGTCCCTGCCAAAATGCTTACATTTCTTACCAAACACATATACTAAAGTGACTGCAGCAGCAATATTCACAAAAGACAAAAATCATAAGCACCCAAATGTCTAGCCTATCAGTACTACAAAGGATAAAATAGTTGTGGCATATTTATACAATGAAATACAATGCAGTAAAAATATAGTGCTGTATTGGTATATGCAACCACATAAATGAATCTCCCAAAGATAACATTGAATAAATATAAGCAGAAACAAAAGAAATAATGCTGTATGATTTTGTTTATATATAGTTCAAAAAAATCATAATAATGGTTACAAGGGGCAGGTATAAGTAGCATAAGGAAATGAAATTGAGAGTCATTCTAGAATGTTTCTTACATTGTTTTCTTGATCAAAATTTGTTCACTTTGTAATAATTAAGTTGCACCTTCATGAACTATTTTATATAAACTTTTTTTTTTTTGCCTTCAGCAAACATTTTTTTTTCTTTTTTTCTTTTTTTTATTATACTTTAAGTTCTAGGGTGCATGTGCACATTGTGCAGGTTAGTTACATATGTATACATGTGCCATGCTGGTGCGCTGCACCCACTAACTAAACTATTTTTTTAAATGAAAGCTTTCATAAAAATCTAGATTCCATTGAGAATTCAGAATATTTTGCAATCCTGGGGCTCAATGCATAGAAAATTGGTCAACTAGCGCTCAGCAGTTGTTGTTTTCTTCAGATGTGGCATGTGCAGCAAAATGTTCACCACTCTTTTATTACTGCATATAGACCTCAGCTAAATGTTTGTTGACACTTATCATTGCATTTCTACAATTGTTTTTCTTATACCTTATCCACTCAGTCATTCATATCACCTGCTTGTACTTGAATATGCATTAGATTTTTCTTGGACCCTAAAATATTTATAGAATTTGCCTTAAACAAATAGAGGTTCACTTCCTCTATTGAGACCTGAAAAAAAATCATAAAGGAAGAGTATGAATGTATATACATTTATAGGTGACAGACAGGAAGTTAATGGAATTTCCCCCTGGGCCCTCTGTTTTGTCTTGGAAGTCAGGGCAAGATAACCTGCTTGGAGAGCTGTGGGACACTGGATTGGAGGATTTAAGAATTTGTTGAACATTTGCTATGGTGATGCAAGAGACAAACAGGATACACACAGAATGACCTCTGGACAGAAGAGAGCCCATTGGAAGTTGAGAAAGACCAGGGGTGTTTAAGGGCGCCGTTCAAAACATTTATATATTTATCTCCAGCAACAGTCAAGTGCCTATTAGATATGAGGGAAAAGGCCCTGTTGGAAGGCTGCAGGCCTGCCGTTTTTGTCTCAGTAGAGGTGAGGTAAAGGCAAGGTGCCCCAAAATTTAAAGTTATTAAGAAGAGAATTTAAAGTTATGAGTCAACAGGATAAATTAATTATATGTACTTGCATATATAAAATACTAGATTTTTGATAGAAACTTAACAGCAGAAATGAGAAAATTGAACGTTGGGAGGCTATGAGGGCAGAAGTTAAATATCTTTGTGGTTTTGCCTAGATTTACACAATATTGAAAGATCAGAGAGTCAAAATTATTTCTTTCAGAATAATCTCCTGGGACATTTCATCTTTGGATACTACAGAGCCTGATATTAATTGCATGTTGGGAGAACTGTGTCCCTGGGATCTTTTTGGATTCAGTGTCCTGCGTCCTTGCCAGTGTCTCCTGATTTGCTGATCTTCAGTGATCTCCAATCTCAAATAACAGCCCCGACAACCAATACATGAGCCTTAGACACTGAGTTGTCACTTGAAGGTAATAATGGTTTGAACTCTATGGCTTAAGCTTCCTTTCTGTATTAAAATATGATTATTAGTGTGAAAAAAATGTGGAAAACTTTTTTTCTTGTAACATATTTATTTCTTTTTATGCTTTGATTTTATTTCTATACCATGCCCATGATTCTTAACTTTTAATGGCGAACTGGTTTAAAGTGATGTTCATCTGGGTGAGGGGAGATTATATAGTGCACATGTTAAATTTTGCATCATGGTAAAATAAAATTCTTCTACAAGCCTAAAACAAACATATTCCTACAAATAAGGAGCTGGTTCATGACTGTGAATTGATCTCTCATCGCGTTTCTTTGGAGGTATTGTGTGTGAGTGTGTGTTAAAAATACAGGAGAAGTCTCCTTTGATTGGGATGGGTAAATTGACAATGAGCAGGCTGCATTAAACAGATTAGAACAAGAGTGATGTGTGTCTGGCTTTATTTTATTCCTTTGATACAAGTAAAACGAGTACAATTTAGTGTAGCTAAATGGGTGGGAATTAACATAAATGAGAGAATCGGAAGACTTACGCATGTATGTATGTTTTTATGGGTATGTATGTGTATAACTGTGAGTGAAATTATTAGAACTATATATATTTAGTATACGTTATATTGAATATATTACATGTAGCATATTTATAAACTGGTTTATTCCTTAAGGGTCCTTTCATGTTCTCTTTTTACTATTGTGCTCTCCTCCCCCTATTTTGAGGGATCACTCAGTGTCTTCATCCTTTTATGGGGTACCCATGCCTCCTCTGACTTTTCCTGTGACTTCTTTTCATTTCCATTGAGTACTGCTAAGTACAATTTTTAGATGATAAGTGAAATAAATATTAAAAAAGCAGTGAAAATTACCTTATATATTTTACTTTAATGACTAATTTTCAGAACAAATATTAATGCAATTTCAGGATATACAGTTATTGTAGGGGAAGAATTTTAGGCTGGAGTAATTTTTCCTGATGCCACGTGGAAAGTGCCTATTTGTCCTATATATGAGGTAAAGTCGTGAAATTTGGGTATATACTTTGTATCTGTGAATATATTTTAAACTTCTGCATTTATAAGTGTTTGGACTTTTAAAAAGCTGATTAAAAATTTTGATCTTTTCATCTTCTAGAAGATAAACATTCTATGTTGGTTTGATGCCTCTTAGTCTCACTAAAGAGCCCTTCTTACCCTGATCACCACTCTTTCCATTCAGATTCAACTACCTCTTCATTCAACACACAAGACCAGAGAGCTAACTCCCTTCCCTAACACCACACACCAAAGAAGAGAAGGAGAACTTTGCAAATCAGGACTATCATAGATGAATCCAGCTTATAGGCCAGAAGGTAAACTAGATGACTAAACATGAGGTGTGCTGCATAATGCTTGCATAAGAATATCTTTGCTGAATAAACTGCATGAGTTTACGTCATCAGTATGCTGGTGGACTAAATGAGTTAACGAATCCCTAAAGAAAATAAGTCATTGAAAGTATGTGTCCATATAATTAAACATTAAGTTATAAATGTTAATATTATTACTTTCAATAGCCAAATGTTTGCCATTTTATAGGAAAAATAACCTCTATAATCTCCAGAAGCGAGCTACCATTCATATAAAGAAAAACCTTAAAAAATGCCCAACTCAGAATTTACAATTGAAGAATGGAAATGCTATTTATATTAATTATTTGCATATATTAACCATTACTGAGTTTTTTCACTGAATTTGAACAATTTGTCCTGAGTTATAAATTAATTGAATGTACTTTATTCCTTTGACATTTTCTTTCTTTCTGCCTTTATTTTTTCTGTGATACACTTTATCTCAGCTTCTAATAGTTATCAGTCAGGAAAATACTGCTTCCACAATAGCCTTCATGTATCTCTCTGTATTATGTATTTTCTTTAAGGTCTTCTTTTGTGATTTCTATATCAAAATTTATTCCATGGGTCACTGTAACATCTCTGAGTCAGTGTTTTGATTAGAGATTAATCAAAACTTTTTAAAGATTGATATTTTGCCCAATGGCCAACACATTATCCTCCCTGAATTCTTGTAATGTGTTTCTCCTAGTTCTGAACAGGGTGATGGGCATGACCAACAGCAGTGTCAAGGGAGACTTCATCCTGGTGGGTTTCTCTCATCAGCCCCACCTGGAAAAGATCCTCTTTGTGGCTGTTTTGATATCCTATCTCCTTACCCTTGTGGGAAATACAGTAATTATTCTGATCTGCTCTGTAGACCCTAAACTCAAGACACCCATGTATTTTTTCTTACTCACCTCTCCTTAGTTGATATCTGTTTTACCACCAGTATTGTCCCCCAGCTGCTGTGGAACCTAAAAGGACCTGACAAAACAATCACATTCCTGGGTTGTGTCATCCAGCTCTACATCTCCCTGGCATTGGGCTCCACTGAGTGTGTCCTCCTGGCTGTAATGGCTTTTGATCGCTATGCTGCAGTTTGCAAACCTCTCCACTATACCGCCGTAATGAACCCTCAGCTGTGCCAGGCTCTGGCAGGGGTTGCGTGGCTGAGTGGAGTGGGAAACACTCTTATCCAGGGCACTGTCACCCTCTGGCTTCCTCGCTGTGGACACCGATTGCTCCAACATTTCTTCGTGAGGTACCCTCCATGATTAAGCTTGCATGTGTGGACATCCATGATAATGAGGTTCAGCTCTTTGTTGCTTCACTGGTCTTGCTCCTCTTGCCCTTAGTGCTAATACTGCTGTCCTATGGACATATAGCCAAGGTGGTCATAAGGATCAAGTCAGTCCAGGCCTGGTGCAAAGGCCTGGGGACATGTGGATCCCATTTGATAGTAGTGTCCCTCTTCTGTGGGACCATCACAGCTGTCTACATCCAGTCCAACAGTTCTTATGCCCATGCTCATGGGAAGTTCATCTCCCTCTTCTATACAGTTGTGACCCCGACCCTCAATCCTCTCATCTACACACTGAGGAATAATGACGTGAAAGGAGCACTGCGATTATTTAACAGAGACTTAGGCACATAAAAAATGAAGCAGAGTACACAGCGCTCAACTTTTTTCACAAAGCAACTTTAAAGGTCATCTTGTATAATTTTTCACTCAAGAACTTTGCCAGTCTGTAAAGGAAGAGATGTAATCTTCTCCATCTGCATTACTGTATTTCACTTGGCCTCAGAGCTTTCTATCCTCTCCAATCTCTTTCCAGACTTCTTTTGAGCCCATGTAAGGCAATATTCCCCCATGCCTTTTAGATCTCCATGAGTCACATCATTTCTGTTTCTCGCTCTCCCCGGCTTCCTGTGCTTTTCTTTAGCCTTCCTTCCTTTCTTGCTTTTTTCCTTCCCTTCCTTCCGTTTCCACCTTTTATTTATTCATTAAAAAAAGACATATAAGCCCTCAAACACAATTTTGGTATACAAGGTCTTGTTTATTATATAATAGTCATTGTTTTGGATCAACTCAGAGAAAAGTATAGAGCCCTTCTTGAATTACTTAAAACTTAACTATAAATTAGGGCATGCTTTATTTAAATATACTCAAGCACTGAAAAGGAATAGGTATCTGTGTTCTAGAGCAGGCTGTGGCAAACTGGGGGAACAGGCCAAATCACTCATTCTAACACTTGATAACATGATTTTTTATTTCAGTTATTCACAAGAAGGGACATTCACCAGCAGTTAGTAATTAATGATATCTTTTCCATCTTCAATTAAACAGAGAGTTCACAGAATTCCATCTGGGGCCTGCTTTGAAACTATGCACACTTGGCAAAAGGAAAAGAGCTCAGATCCAAACAGGACATGGGTACCAGTGTTTTATAAATCAAAATTTCTCACCCTTAGCCCTATGGACATTTTGGAACAGATAATTTTCTGTTGTCAGGGTCTCTCTTCTGCATTTTAGGATGCTCAGCAGTATCTTTGGCCTCTGTGCACTAGATGCTAGTAGCATCTCCTTTCCCCCCAAGTTGTGACAAGCAAAAATACCTCCAGACATTGTCAAATATGCCCTAGGAAGCAAAAATGCTCCTGGCATAGAAGCACTGCCATAAATCAGGGCATATTGCTATATCAAGAGGCATGTTTTATTACATGGGAGTAAGCCTACAGGGTCAGAGTGA
This sequence comes from Homo sapiens, assembly GCF_000001405.40. Lineage (NCBI taxonomy): Eukaryota > Metazoa > Chordata > Mammalia > Primates > Hominidae > Homo > Homo sapiens. The sequence goes on along the minus strand of NT_167245.2, from coordinate 493,768 downwards.
GACTAGCAGCAGTCATTCTAGTGCACAAAGCATAGGTGTGCACATAGAAACACAAAAGCACAGGAACATATACAAACATATTTGATAAAATGTTTTTAGTGTCCTTTTGTTTCATTATGTATGGTTTTAAATTTTCATTTTTATAATAAGAGAAAAGGCCATTTTGACATATGTTGAACTATCTTTTTCAGAGCAATGTTATTTCATTAAAAATTTTTTTGAAGGGAAGATTTTACTTTAATTTTATATTATTAAATAGTGAGGCATGAGGTAAAATCGGTGGAAATGAGAACGTGAAGTAAATGCTCAGTGATTCCAATTGCATTCACCTCTCCAACATGGCATCTGCTGTTTAGGGAGGCGGGGTTATCCAGCTTCTGGATCTGGGTGTGGGCATGGGATAGTCAGATGGGAATGGCACCAGTTGGAGGAACATGGGTAAGAGAGGGTGAAAGGTAAAGTGCTATCTCTGAGGTAGGTTAGGGTCTGACATCTGGAAAGTTGGGGAAGGAAGGAGCCCTAAGGAGATATAGCCTAGGGCTTTTCCAGCTACTTTGACAGCCATTTGTTCTGTTACGAGATCCCGATGTCACTTGAACAAGACCCTCAGTGGGCCTCATCTTGGCTCCATTACTTTCTGAAAGCTTTTTCTTCATCTTCCGTTTTTTCTTGGGTTCAACACCAGATGGTGCCAGCAGACCATAATGTATCCAGCAAATTCTTCCTGTCATATCCAGCCTCGTCTGCCTTACCCAAAGCTTCATGGGCTTTTTCGGTGAAATTTCTCCTAATTCCCTTCCTCTGCCTAATCCTCCTATTTCTCTGTTGAAAACAATAGCAATGTCTTCCCTACCATAAAAATCCTTGTGTGCCTTTATAATCCAAACACACTAGATAACTGTACAATGACAATACTTGTCATTTGTCCTGTGACTATGCCTTAATATGTTAAAATTTATTTCTTTATACATAAAAATGTATTTCAAGTATAAATAACTGGTTCTGAGTTTGCCATTTTATATAATTTGGAGAGTTCCTGAAGTCAAGAATTTAGAACCATGGAACTCTACACTGAAAAGCCACCAGCCAGGGCCAGCACATACCCAGAAGTTATTGTTTTGGGAATGGTCTGTCAATTTGGGGTCCGGGGTTTAGTGGATGTGCATGTGGAAGAAGGAGAAAGAGAAAACAGTTTTTGAATAGCTAGAGCGTTCTGTGATTGAGCAAAATAACAGTGTGTTTGCTGGGCCTTTTACCTTAAGACCTTAGTGAGTTTCTTAGCCTAGATTCTCTAAAAATCAGAGCTTGAGGCAAAAAAGGAAATATTAATGTTTTATTTGGGAATGCAAATAGAGGGCAGCAAAGGTGAGAAAAAAAGGGAACTGAGAGAAGGGAAATATGAAGCAAGGTGAGGTGATACATTTTCACACTGGCTACCACTTCCTGAGAAATTTTAGAAGGCTGCCTCACGGATGCTTTAATCTGCTCTCGCCACTCTCCTTCAGACAAGATAGGAGGAGGAATCTTGCTTTGGGTGAAAGAAAAAAAAAAGAAAGTATTAAAGTATATCAAAGAAGAAGGAGCTGTGTCAAAGGCTGTTAGTATAGTAGGTCAAGTGAGATGAAGATTAAGAACTGACCATTGGATTTAGCAATAAGGAAGTCATCTGTGACACTAAGGGAGGAGTTTTGCTAGAGAAAAAGAAGGCAACAGCCACACTGGAATGGAAGCAAGAGAGAACAGTGGGAGACAACTTAGAGACAGAAAGCATAGAAAACTCATGAATAGTGCTTTGCTGAAGGCAGGAAGAAATGATTCAATAGCTGTAGGGAAAGGGAGGTCAAGAGAAGGCAGAAAGAGTTTTTTTCTGTAAGATGGATGTAATGGCAGCATGCTTGTATTCTATGGTAATGACCTATAGAGTATGCAAAATTACACAGCAGGAGAGTGAGGGTGAACTCAGAAACAAAGTCTTTAGGTCGGTGAGGGGATGGATCCAGGGCAGCAGAGGATTGATCAGCCTTTGCTAGAGCACAAACAGTTCATCAATAGGAACCAGACAGAAAGTAGAATACATGGATATAGAAGCAGGTGGGTGTGTTGAGGTAGTATTGAAATCTGACAGAAATTCCTTTCTGATTTCTCCAATTTTCTCTGAAGTTTTGAAAAGCAGAGGCATCAGTTGGGAGTGAAGAAAAGGAAAGGATGTGCGCTTGGATAGAGCAGAGAAGGTGTGAACAGACACCTGGGAAGAGGGAAAGTACAGAAATTATGAAATATAGAAAACTAACGATTTTCTTTTCTGGATTTTCTTTTTGTTTTGTTGCATTTCGTTTTTTTTCAAAGGTTTATCTGGTGATATGTTATGATCCTGGGGGAGGAAGAGCTGAGCTCTACATTTGGCTCAGTCTATCATGGTGTTTCCCCGTGGGTCTCTTTTTTTCCCACTATATCTCTAACTATTTTATCATTTTCATCAAATGACTTCTTAAATCAATTGAAATAGTCATTTATAAAAGTCATTTGTATATAAACATTCCATTGTTTTCATACTTGTGTTTTAACTATAGTAAATACAGCACTTGATATACAGAAATTTAGTTCCAAATGTCTTTGATTGTTCAACTGCCTTTATAAATCTCCCAGTATAACTTATTTAAAAAACAGAATATTGTACATGTACTATCTAGAAATTAAAATTATTTCTCTTCCCCAACATTTAAGTAATATATATTTAGAAAACACCATCCTAAGAGTTTTAATTCTATTAAGCTTCAATTTGAACTCCTGTATAACAATTTAACAGCAACGAAACTAGAATAGAGAGAATTTTTAATTACTTTAGGACAACAATGATATGGCTATTTTTCCTGGATGTTAAAAGTAGGTTCAGGGCCAGTTGCGGTGGCTCATATCTGTAATCCCAGCACTTGGGAGGCAGAGGCAGGAAGATCGCTTGAGCCCAGGAGTTCAAGACTAGCCTGGGCAAAATAGCAAGACTCCATCTCTACAAAAACATTAAAAAATAATAATAATAAGCAGGTCTATTTGAAGGTAGAATCAATGAGGAAGGTTATCTTCTTCTACTTTAAGATGTATAAATATGTAAATGATCTGAAGTTTTATTTCATTTTCTTGATATATATCAGTAATTACTTAATCTCTGTCCTGGAGATTTTGAAGCTAATTTTCATACTGTGCATTTTCTGGTCCAAAGATTCTTGATTTATTTTATATGCTTAATATGATTTTAAGTGTTCCTTTTATTCTTTTCAGATAATTCAGACTATATTTTGTTTGTGTCCTCTCCAAAGGTTTTACAAAAGCATAAATCAGATTATTGAGAGCTATCTAAGTAATATACATGTTCTGATTTGTTTATTACATCCACTCTAACATACCTGCATCTGTTTTATCTTCTCCAAGTGTCAGAGATTTGCTCTGACTTTTCTTGTTCTTTGGAACTTGTTCTAGGTGTTCTCAGTTCTGACTCACTCTAAGTTATTTCTGTTTATTGAGATATTTTCAATATGTTTATTTCTGTTGGCTTAATCTTTTATTTCATCCTTCAGTTTTTTGTAAAAGCTATTTTGGGTTTTCCCGAAGATGGACGTCTTCATCCAAACTCTACTTTATTGCTATGGCAAGTCTTCATTCATGTGATATAGTTTTAAAGTTATTTTGGCTTTATCCATTTGGTACTGATGGACTTTGACATATCTTCTAGTGACTGAATCCTTGTTTTAATGTCAGACACAAGTCATTATGAACATTTAGATACCTTTTTCTTCCATTTGTTTTCTAATGAGTCCAGTTTAAACTCAAAGAGTTAGATCTTTCAAGTTTTTAATTAACTAATTGCCTTTAAATTTGGAGTTCTTGATAAATTGTTCTCAAGACTAGACTCAATAAGAAAAAAATCTGTAACTCTTCCTATACTTTAAAAATCAGTTTAACCTAACCAAAATCTTCACTTTTTTTCTACCTAGAACAGAACTTCTTATGGAAAATACATTAATCCCTATTTGGATAAAGTCAGCTTTTAACTATTAAAAAAATTCAGATATAGCTGCACTTACCGCCATCTCCCATGTTAAGCCAGAGAGATCTGCTGTGAGTCTCATGTCTCCTGGTAACAGACATGGCCTCACTCAGCTTCTCCAGAATTCGTATAAAGTAAAACTTTATAGCAGTAGGCAGGTACTCTGTAACACCAGCTCTGCCTCAGGTTGCCAGGACCCTCCTATTCTACAACACACTGTAGAGAACACTGTGGAGTATTCTGCTCAGAACCTAAACCAGTGCCTGGCAACCAAGAGAGACCAGCAGTGTGCGTGGCGATAGGGGAGAACAGGCAGTGCTTCCAAAACATTTTCATTTCATAGCACACTTTAAGTTAGATGTACAAGGCTGACTTTCACCAGGGAAGATTGGCCACTGGGACTTTGTTCATCCAAGGCCACATCCATCAATCCCAAAATCTGGGAGGATAGATGTATTTTTACACATGTGCTATTCGGGAATCACTGACAAAGACTGTCAAATGAAAATGATGTGACTCAAAGGCTAAAGACTTTATTCAGGTGATGAGCATTGAGATCTCCTTACTGAAGTCAGATCAGAGTTTTTACAGGATAGAGGAAGTGGAGTACACATCCTCGTTACCTTGTTTTGGCTAAGGCAACAGCTTTCTATTTTAAAATCTCAGTTGGGGGCTTATACCTGCTTTCATGCCCCTTTCATGTCAATAATCATCAGAAAAGTATTTTTTGAGAATGATTTTTGCAAGCCTTGAGGTTTGTTAGTTAGTCAAGGTTCATGGGGTGGGGAGAGAGAGAGGAAGAAAGAAAGGAAAAGAGAGAGGAAGGGAGGAAAGAAAGAAAGAAAGAAGGAAAAAAGAATAAAAGAATAGGAAAGAATAAGAAAAGAGGACAAAGGTAGAAAGCAATGGGGAAACTGGAAACTTCTGTCTTGTTTGTTTTCATTGTTTTACAGAGTTTACATGCTCTCCTTCATGGTCAATATTTTCTTAATGTAAATATTTTTTTAGACCCATAAGGTTCTAATACTCCAAAAAAGTTAAACAAAGCCCTCCTTTTGGCAACCTATCCCTTTTTGTGTTTGGTCAGATCTCAAGTGTAGAAGAAGGAGAATGAAGGGTCTCATAATCAACTTACCACCTTGAATTTCAAATGTAACAACTCAAGGAATCAAAGGGGAACTTGAAAATCCTTCAAATATAAAAGATTTATAATCATGCTATAAATAACACCCAGCCCCTTACTCAGTCACTGTTCTTCATGTTTCCCAATTCTCAAGCAAAACGCAAAAACTTTCTATTCCCTGGCAGAGAGAGGAATAGAATACCATAATCAAACAGGCAGTTAATAATGAGTTGCTATAACAGAAGTTGCCATCCCTTGTTCTTCTCTATTTGTGAACATTCATGAGAACGGCTATTCCTATTCCATACAGTTCCAGTGAGTTCTTGACCATGAAACTGATCACAAGGGTGAACAAGTGATCCAATTTCAACAAGTCAGTTTTTCTTAGTGCTTTGAATCTTCAACAGATGGTATTGTCCAAATGGGGTTACCTGTTACTTCCAATCTGAATTCCCCAGGCCTACCCTGATTCATTTTACTCCAGTAACCTGATGGTCCTACTGGTTCTTTCATTTGGTGGGGTACTCACTGTATCTTTCCAAAATTTATTTTTCTTTTTTTAATTATAAAATTTTATCTTCTCCAATTGATTTTTCTTTTTTTTAAATTATTATTATACTTTTAGTTTTAGGGTACATGTGCACAATGTGCAGGTTTGTTACATATGTATACATGTGCCATGCTGGTGTGCTGCACCCATTAACTGTCATTTAGCATTAGGTATATCTACTAATGCTATCCCTCCCTTCTCCCCCCACCTCACAACAGTCCCCGGTGTGTGATCTTCCCCTTCCTGTGTCCATGTATTCTCATTGTTCAATTCTCACCTATGAGTGAGAACATGCAGTGTTTGGTTTTTTGTCCTTGCGATAGTTTGCTGAGAATGATGGTTTCCAGTTTCATCCATGTCCCTACAAAGGACATGAACTCATCATTTTTTATGGCTGCATAGTATCCCATGGTGTATATGTGCCACATTTTCTTAATCCAGTCTATCATTGTTGGACATTTGGGTTGGTTCCAAGTCTTTGCTATTGTTAATAGTGCCACAATAAACATACGTGTGCATGTGTCTTTATAGCAGCATGTTTTGTAATCCTTTGGGTATATACCCAGTAATGGGATGGCTGGGTCAAATGGTATTTCTAGTTCTAGATCCCTGAGGAATCGCCACACTGACTTCCACAATGGTTGAACCAAAATTTATTTTTCTTAAGATGGCCAGAGGTATTTTCTGTTTTTTACAACCAAAGGACCCTGATACATCTACCACATGTACACGATCATTTTTGAAGTATCAAAAACCAATACATTGAACCCTCTTAAAAACAGTAAAATATTTATGAATGCAGAAAACCTTCTGAGATTCTGATGTTCAGAATTATGAACCTAGTATTGGATGCTAAATAGAACTGTTTTAATAGTGGTAAGAATTGGAATATTATGGATTATCTGAGCTCCTCCTTGTCATAGAGGTGGATCCTGAGTTTTTGGGGACACAGAACTTGTTCACTTTGGTTAGATATCACATAAATTCTAAAGCTCAATCTTTTTGGAAAAATCTGGACACATTTGAGAAAAAGAATACGTCAAGGCATTTTCAGTTCTATACACTTCATTCTCTTACTTTCTTTGTTGAGTCAGGAGAGGACGCTCACTAATACGCAGAGACAAGGGCAGACAGCAAGATCTAGTAGAGGGTAAGAAACAAAAGATACTGCTTCAGGTCCAATGCCCTATGCTCCTTTATTTCCTTAAAGGCACAGGGAGGTCTAGTGCTGGAAAGAGACCCAGAGAGATATATAGATACTGCTACAATAACAGTAATGGAGAGAAACAAAGCAGTAGAGAGACAAAAAGAGACAGAGAAGCAGAGAAACAAAGAGAAACAGATGAAGAGCTTATAGATAAAGGCTGTATGGATAAAGAGCATATGGATAAAATCTGTTTCTCTGCAGAGAAACAGATTTAGAGACATAGGGAGAGAATCTCAGAGAAAGACAAGAGAGTCTCTCCTGCTTAAATAGCTGCAGTGCTCCTCTGTTACTGTTAAAGTCCAAATACAACCCACAAGACCACACCAACCTCTCTAGGCTGTTAATAATACTGTTCCCCCGATTGCCACCCTATAGTCAAACCAGTTTCTTAGAGTCTCTAAGTCACCACTGCCTTCCACATATTTTCTTGCATACACTAAGAGATCAATAAAAATATTTTGAATGAATGGCATATTATCTTGAAGCTGATGAGAAGGCATTGAAGGATGACTACTTTCTTCTCTCTGCCACAGGCTACAATCTACATGGAATATGCATACTCTGACAGTACAAGCATAGAATCAAAACCCAGGTCTCTGATCCACAGAAAGTTCACTGCTCTGTCTACCCCTAAGTAGAATCCTGCTATCCTTACCCACATCTTCCTCAAAGAGGCCACCCTTCTGCTGCCCACCACCTCTCCCCTCTCTTACCCAATGCAGTCACATCCATGTTCATACAGAAGTTAAGGTGTGTATGTAAGGGGTAAAGGTCAGTAGCCTGGCTGAGAAGCCAGTATGTATCTGTTAAGAAATTAGAAATTAGTTTCCTGTCTATTAATAAATTAGTATCTAAGTTAATTAAGAAATCAGATCTCACCAAGAGTGTAAAAGCTGTTTCCTATTTCTCCAAAGCCTTGCTAGCATCTATTATTTCTTGACTTTTTAATAATGGCCATTCTGACTGGTGTGAGATGTTATCTCATTCTGGTTTTGATTTGCATTTCTCTAATAATCAGTGATGCTCCTTATAGATTCTGGATATTAGACCTTTGTCAGATGGATAGATTGCAAAAATTTTCTCCCATTTTATAGGATGCCTGAGTTCAACCATTGTGTAAGACAGTGTGGCAATTCCTCAAAGACCTAGAACCAGAAATACCATTTGACCCAGCAATCCCATTACTGGGTTTATACCCAAAGGAATATAAATCATTTTATTATAAAGATACATGCACACATATGTACTTTGCAGCACTATTCACAATAGCAAAGGCATGGAATCAACCCCAATGCCTATCAATGATAGACTGGATAAAGAAAATGTGGTACATATACACCACTGAGTACTACACAGCCATGAAAAGGAACAAGATCACATCCTTTGCAGAGACATGGATGGAGCTGGAAGCCATCATTCTCAGCAAACTAACACACGAACAGAAGACCAAACACTGCATGTTCTCACTTATAAGTGGGAGCTGAACAATGAAAACACATGGACACAGGGAGGGGAACCACACACACTGGGACCTGTCGGGGATAGGTGGGAAGAGCATCAGGATAAATAGCTAATGCATGTGGGGCTTAATACCTACGTGGTGGGTTAATAGGTGCAGCAAACCACCATGACATACATTTACCTATGTAACAAACCTGCACGTCCTGCAAATGCATCCCGGAACTTAATATTAAATTAAATTTTAAAAAAAGAAATTAGAGGCTGGGCGTGGTGGCTCATGCCTGTAATCCCAGCACTTTGGGAGGCTGAGGAGGGTAGATCATGAGGTCAGGAGTTCAAGACCAGCCTGGCCAAGATGGTGAAATCCCGTCTCTACTAAAACTACAAAAATTAGCCAGGTGCAGTGGCAGGCACCTCTAATCCCAGCTACTCAGGAGGCTGAGGCAGGAGAATTGCTTGAACCCAGGCAGCAGAGGTTACAGTGAGCTGAGATGGCACCACTGCACTCCAGCCTGACCGACAGAGTGAGATTCCATCTAAAAAAAAAAAAATTAGATCTCCAGAAACAACTCAGTTAGGTCACCTTAGGTGGCTCATGATCTCTTGTGCTGCTACCAATTCTGTCAACTGCTCTTGATCTTAACTACAGACCCAACTCTGCAAATTGCTGGAGAGAAAAGCCTCCTGTCTTCCCAGGATCATTCAAATTTTCTATAATTTAGATACAAATCCAACCCCCAGAGAGCTGGTTCACAAGATCCATAAAGAAATGCAAACTAATTTTTAAAAGAAAAATATATAATCCATTGCTTATTGTAATCTGTAATAGCTAAAATGAAATTAAAAGAGAATGCCAAAGCAGACCTTAATGCTAGAATAAGCTCAGATTTTGATGAGTGTGAACTCAGACCACTAACCTCAAAACCACCCCTCAAGAGAAAAATTATGTTGGGAACAAGATAAATTATCTCTACAACGTCTGATCCAAGAGGGCAGTTAACATGAGAGAAGGTATATTAGTCCATTCTCATGCTGCTAATAAAGACGTACCTGAGACTGGGTAATTTATAAAGGAAAGAAGTTTAATTGACTCACAGTTCCGCAAGGCTGGGGAGGCTTCAGGAAACTTACAATTATGGCAGAAAGGGAAGCAAACATATCCTTCTTCAGATGGCAGCAGAAGAGAGAAAAAGGGCAAAAGGGGAAAAACTCTTTATAAAATCATCAGATCTTGTGAGAACTCACTCACTATCATGAGAACAGCAGCATGGGGAGTAACCACTCCTATGATTCAACCTCTCACTAGGTCCCTACCAAGACACATGGGGATTATGGGAACTACAATTCAAGATTAGATTTAGGTGGAGACAAGGCCAAACCCTATCATTCTGTGCCTGGCCCCTCCCAAGTCTCATGTCCTCACATTTCAAAACACAATTATGCCCTTCCAACAAGTCCCTCAAAGCCTTAACTAATTCCAGCATTAACTCAAAGTCCAAGTCCAAAGTCTCATCTGAGACAAGGCAAGTCCCTTCTGGTTATAAGCCTGTAAAATCAAAAGCAAGTTAGTTACTTCCTAGATACAATGGGAGTACAGCATTGGGTAAATACACCCATTCCAGATGGGAGAAATTGGCCAAAACAAAGGTGTTGCAGGACCCATGCATGTCCGAAATCCAGCAGGGCAGTCAATTCTTAAAGCTCATAAATGATCTCTTTTGACTCCATGTCTCAAATCTAGGTCAAGCTGATGCAAGAGGTGGGCTCCCATGGCCTTGGGCAACTCCATCCTTGTGGCTTTGCTCCCCTCCTGGCTGCTTTCACAGGCTGGCATTGAGTGTCTCCAGCTTTTCCAGGCACACAGTGCAAGCTGTCAGTGGGTCTATCATTCTGGAGTCTGGAGGATGGTGACCCTCTTCTCACAGCTCCACCAGGCAGTGCCCCAGTGGGTACTCTGTGTAAGGGCTCCAACACCACATTTTTCTTCTGCACTGCCCTAGCAGAGATTCTCCATGAGGGCTCTTGCCAACCCAGCAAACTTCTTCCTGGACATCCAGGCACATCAATACATCCTCTGAAATCTAGGCGGAGGTTCTCAAAGCTCAGTTCTTGTCTTCTGCACACCCACAGGACCAACACCATGTGGAAGCTGCCAATGCTTGGGGCTTGCACTCTCTGAAGCGGTCTGTACCTTGGCCTCTTTTAGCCAAGGATGGAGCTGAAGCAGATAAGACACCAGGCACCATGTCCCAAGGCTGCATAGAGCAGGGGGGCTCTGGGCTTGGCCCAGGAAACTGTTTCTCCCTCCTAGGCCTCTGGGCCTGTGATGGGAGGGGCTGCTGTGAAGACCTCTGACATGCCCTGGAGACATTTTCCCCATTGTCTTGGTGATTAACATTTGGCTCCTTCTTACTTATGCAAATTTCTGCAGCCTGCTTGAATTTCTCCTCAGAAAATGGGTTTTTATTTTCTATCACATTGTCACTGTCTCTGAACAGGAGTGAACTGAGGGGGAAGCACTTGCTAGACCAGTGTTGTTAGCTGCAATCTGAAGCAACACAGTGGCTGAACCTAATATTCCTTCCAAAATTGAAAAAGTTTGGTTGTAAATGGAGAAGACAAATAATAGCTAAGAGTAAAGCAATAAACAAATGGGTTTTGTAATGAGGCAAATCTAATATTATATCAATACTGTGAAAGAGTCTAAGAGCAAGAGATGATATTGTTATAAGTTCCACGATGTTGATTATTTTATATGTTTTATCTACTATTACATAACTACCATCTGAAACATAATAGGTATATAATAGGAAAGCCATAAATATCTATAAAGTGAAAGAATAATTGGGTCTGATAAAAAGATAGCCATTTTGTTACAATAAGGCCTCAGAATGAAGAAAAACACAGAAGTCTATTCCTATAACTGGGGGCCCAGAATATCAAGGCTCAAACTGAGAAACTTGCACACACACTCATCATAGTATCAGCACCAGAGAGCAGTAAATGTGGACTTTGGCATGGCAAACACTTTGCATTGGATAGTGAAAGTCACATTACAGGTCAACAGTGGTCATGCTGAGACAGAGAGACAGAAGCAATTAAAACCAAGACCTGCCATATTACAGTATAGGGGTACATATAAGTTGATCAAGAAGTTTCTGTCTCAAAACTTTAGAAATCTTGTTGGGACTGAAAGCACTGGTGGAGCTTGTAGGAAAATAGAACAAAAAAAGAACGAAATAGAAAGGCATGAAACGTACTACTTAGTATTTTATTTTGCAAGTAATGTGTTTCTTGTGTCTTCTCCTCCTCCCCCATTCAATTGCATTGTGTCCTTTTCAAGACAATAGCTATTAAATATATTAATTTTTATACCATACTGTGTCTAAATCCACAATATGAAGAATTTAAGGGCCCAATTGATTGATGAAGGAAACTGAAATCTCAACCTGAACAGAATGCAGCTCTTTCTCTCCTACTTTTGGCTTAGGAGGTGTATCTCCAGCTTTTTGTGATGAGGTTGTTCTCTATTCTTAGGTTAAGCAAAGGTAAACATATGTTAACCTTGTTAGTTATTCTGGGAATCCCAGGTCCTCCTCCCCAATCTTATTAGTGCTCCCTTTACCTCCTTGTTCCTTAGAGTGTAGATGAGGGGATTAAGAGTTGGGGTTACTACAGTGTAGAAAAGAGTGAGAAATTTGCCCCATTCATGAGGATAGTGATTTTTTGGTTGAAGGTAGACACCTGTGACAGTGCCATAAAAGAGAGAAACCACAAGAAGGTGAGAGATGCAGGTGCCAAATGCTTTCTTCTGTCCTGCAGTTGACTTAATTCTCAGCACAGCCTTAGCAATAGCACCAGAAGAGGAAAGGATAATGATCAAGGGCATCACCAGGAGGACAACACTGGCGATAGACATCTGAATTTCACTGTAGGTAGTATCAGTACTGGAGAGCTGAATCAGAGCTGGGACTTCACAAACAACATCATCCACCATCCGCTGGGAGCAGAAGGGTAACCGGAGGGTGGCAGGGGACTGGATCAGAGACTGGGCCAAGCCAGTCCCCCATGCCAAGATAGCCAGCTGCAGACAAAGTTTTGGGTGCATGATCATGGTATTTTGCAGTGGATGACACACTGCTACATAACAATCCACAGCCATGACAACAAGAAGGACATATTCCGTGGCCCCAAGCCACAAAAAAACATAGAGTTGAATGGCACAGCCAATGTAGCTGATGGTCTTTTCTGGGCCCCAGAAGTTAATCAACATCTGTGGAACACAGCTGCTGGTCAAACAGAGGTCTACCAAGGAAAGGTTGGAAAGAAAGAAATACATAGGGATGTGGAGTTTTGGATCCTTCAAGGACACAAGAACTATGACCATATTTCCTGCAAGAGTCAAAAAATAAAAAATAAAAATGATCCAAAAAGTATCTTCTCCAAATGTGGCTTGTTAGAGAAGCCCAGAAGGATGAAATCACTGTGGCTGTCATTGCAAATTATAATCATAGCTACTGGGGCAAATGCCTCTCTGGGGAACGGTTCAAAAGTAGTTCCTCAAAAGCCTGTGATGGTTCCAGTACAGACAGGAAGACGGGTGGTATATGACTTGTTTGATTCCTTTCTACTCAAGGATAAGATTTTCACCAGCTGTATTTTGGGAAAAAATACAAGATTTAGTGAAGTGCTTTAATCTTTGATATTCATCATTCACTCTCTCTCTTCCTCTTTTACATCTTCCTCATATTTTGTCTCTGATTAAAATTGTTCATTATAAATATTATATAAAATACATGTAAGCACCTGCTAGTGAAAATCACTTTGCTAAATATTAGATGTGTTTCATCTGTGCTCTCAAAGAGTATACATTTACCACATTTATTACATAGTTCTAATCACTGCCTATTAGCTTTATAACTTTCTCTATTTCTTTTGTTCTCTTATTTCTCTGTGACCTTGTATCTTGATTTATTTCACTCTCTGTCTCCCATGTTTCTCTCTTTTTTGCTTCCCCTCTTCTCTCCCTGGATCTTCTCCCTTTATCTTCTCTTTTTTCTCTCTCATTCTCCTCTTCTCCATTCCTCCTTTTCACTCTGTCTGTTATTGATGAGCTTGAATTCTCCCTCAGCCACCTTCATGCTGTGTGATGTTAGGAAAAGTAGTTAACATTTTTGTTCTTACTTTAGTTCTTTCCTTAGATTTTGTATTTGGAAAATGAGCAAAATTAAAAACCTACATATGCTTGTTGGAGAGATTAAATGTGCAAATGTGGGAAATACTAAAAAGTGTTCTTGGCACAAAGTAACTGTTCAATGTAAGTTAGCAATAATTATCATGATGATGAAACTGTTCAATGGATTGTTCCAGAAACCAAAATTTATTACCAAAGTTTTGCAGAGCATGAGTAAAAATAACATCTAGAAAAAAGAAACATTATATTTCTACATGACCTTCTTTGATGAAGAATGATAAAGTACATTAAAGAAAACCAAAAGCTTGAAATTAGATGAAAATATTTAAAATCATTAACAATAATAACTGTGTCAAATAGATCACTCAAGCCATAATTCTAAGAAAAATTATGACATAATCTGATATTTACTATTACATCAACATACATTGTGGTGAATTCTCAATCACACTTTAATGCAGTTTGAGCAACATGATGGTATATCATGCAATTACATATGTAAAGTTTTTACATCAATATATGCTTTTGCTTTTACAAAGCTTGCTGGAGGTTATTTTCTGAATATCCTAGCCCTGTTGTCTCCTATCTACCAACCATATTCTTACCCACCTATGATAAATCACATTTAACTTTATCAACACACTAGAAGCAAATTCATTTGAAGTTCTCTCAATCAGTAATTCTCATGCTTAAAGGGTATTAATCTACTGGTAAACCCTCAAGTACAATGTCCCAGGGCATTAAGATGCACTGACCCTCATGGCTTAAATTTCACCATAATTTTACTCATGTTTGTCTTTACTATGCTGTGCATTCTAGAAAATCTATATATTCTCTGTTTTGTGTGTGTGTTATTTTTCCTTTATTTTATTTAGAATTTTTCAAATTAGTGATGAAATGTTACCACTTTGGTTGTGAATTTGAGTTTGATATTATATTAAAGTAGAAGAGTAGTTTGATGTTTTAAAGAATCTCAGTCTTGTAGATTTTTCCATGTTCAGAATCAACCTGCCTCTTATCCCACCCTTCGATTTTCATCCACTTCATAACCACTAACTACTGGTTTCGTTTTTTGTCTATTCAGATTGCTTTTCCTTTCCCCATTTTCTTTCTTGTATATTATCACCTGCAGGTCTCTATCTAGCTATTTTTATATATGTATGCATCCATATGTCTTATCTCTTCCAGTTCCTTTTAAATTACTAATCATTGAAGTAGATGCTTTTTTTTTTCCCCCTGGATCAACTATTTGTAAAAGGTCCTTGGTTAGGGGAGACAGTCTTAGACTAGATGGTTTTTACTATGCAAAATTCAAGAATACTCTTAATCTCTGCTTCTCTTGAGATTATCTTCTTCCTGCAAATATAGTTTTCCCTGTGATTTTATTTTAGTTGGCCTCCTCTGCTTTTCAGAACACTATCTGGGGGAGTTCATGGTAAAAGCCAGCACACCTCCATTCCTATGGTTGTAAATGTAAAATACAGCATTTCTATCTCACCTTCTAAAGTAGATGCCTCTAGTACCAGTGTATCACATCTCTTCAGCCCAGCTCTAATTTCAGCAGAGCTGCAAGGGACAGTTGTGTGTGAACTCAGATTATCTCACACATATTGACAGTGACCTACCTCAAGTATGCTGTATAGGGCTTCCCTTGGCCCCAAGGCTTGTCTGACACCATGGGAGCCCATTTGGCATATAGACAAGTGCTGCCTAGAAGTACAAAATGCTTAATGACCCTAGGGGAAATCCTCCAACAATGAAGAATTTTAACTAGGAATAAATGGTCCAGCAGCTCTCCCTTCAGGCAAAAACATCCTGTGTGCTTTTCAGAAGGCCTTTAGAGAACTGAGCTCTCATTACACACAACCTGGCTAATGCATCCCTAAATTAACTTTCTTTCTTAAATGTTTCACTCTTCTTGTTCCCTGTATACATATAATACATATGTATTATATATTATACATGTATTTTATATATTACATATATAATGTATATATTTTATATATAGATATATATATAGAGAGAGAGATGAGAATGGAGTTTCCCAGGAAGCCGACTCAGGGATGGAGATCAGCATTTAGAAAGTTTACTAGGGAACATTTTTTGGATCAACATCTTTCAAAGGAAAGGGTGGGTAGCATGATTGAGGAAAGGAAGTAATGCAAACTACCTACTTTGGAAGTTTGTAATGCAAACTACTAAAGTTTCACTGAACCCTGTAGGAAGTTCTCAATATGAGATGACAATTCATTGATGTTCTGAGCTGAGGCCAACGGCAAGCCTTAAATCTCCTTGTTGGTCAGTGTTGAATGCAGATTACATGGAAAAGGGCCATATGTTTAGATGAAGCAACTCTGTTTAGCTGAGGCAACCCAGAAAGAAGGATCTCAGCTGAGCTCTATCTACCTGTAGCACATCTAGCAGCTGAAGTAATAATGCCTTCATTCTGAAAGTGTTATCTGAGTAAAGCATTATAACTTCCAACACTGTCTATTCCTTTAATTTCAGATCTACTCCTTTGTATAAGATCTGGTGTGGGGTGGGGGAGGGGGCAGGGATAGCATTAGGAGATATACCTAATGTAAATGACGAGTTAATGGGTGCAGCACACCAACATGGCACATGTATACACATGTAACAAACCTGCACGTTGTGCACATGTACCCTAGAACTTAAAGTATAAAAAAATTAATTAATTAATTGATTAAAAAAGATCTGGGAAAAGCTCTTACAGGGCTATAGTGGGCCTCTGTATCTGGAGGAAACTTAGAAGAGGACCACCACTGCGGCTGGTCTTAAGTCCTACAAACTATGGTCACCATCTCCTTCTTACTATTCATTCTGTGTTGCTCTCACCCTTATCTGGCACCTCTCCTGCTCTCAGTGGTTTACCTGGTGTCATGATCCGGAAGTGTCTGAGCCCCTGATCACTATGGCTTTTTTTAGTTAATCTCATTGCCTTTGGTCATTTACCATCATAATTAAACAAAGTATACACTTCCTAGTGTACCTTTTGTACCCCCTAGTGGGAATATTTCCCTTTAGAGAGCTAGAACCTCTAAACTCACAGAGCTTATAATTGTGGAGAAAAAAAACACAAATTTCTCAAATGAGTTACTGGTAGGGATTCTAAGAAGGGCTTTCACCTTTTGGTTTCTAAACCATGCATTCTTCCTAGTGAGGACACAGCACCATAGAAAGATAATTGATTTAAAGTACTGGGTCTTGAAGGATGACATTTCATCTGAGCTGGAATTTCAGGTGTAGCTTCAACAGATCCCTCCATGACTCTAATAGATCACTTATGATAGTGCAATATGTGATATGGCCAATGGATTCCATGGTCATAAGTCCACTCCTACACTTTCTTTGCCATTAAGTCGGCCCTTTTTTCTGATACAATGGTATGTGGGATCTCCTGCTGCTGCGTCAAACATCCTATAAGCCTTTAGACAGTCATGCTGGCTGAGAACTTATGTTCAGGAATAGAAACCCATGCCTGGAGTATGTGTATCTATTCCTACCAAAAAAAATTGCTACATTCAAAGTAGAAAAAGTCCAGTGTCATCAACTTGACATTAAATAACTGGTTGATCTTTTGATGGGAAACTATTTTATCCAGTCATTGCATGGGACACTTATTGATGGAAGACTGGATGTTTGACCAGTGGCTATAATGCATGCTGTTAAACCCATGCATTGCTTCTATCCCTACTATCATGGTGGCTTCATTCATAAGCTCATTGCTCTAGCATTGCAGGTAGGATAATGAGGGCAAATGTCAGAAGCTCTTGACAATAACTGCTCGCCAAGTCACGTTTTCTACCTAGTTGCTTAATTCATTTTCTATGATGGATTCCATCTTGTAGTTTTAGCATGTAATACAAATAATGCAACACTTCATACCTTCACTCTTATATGTTTATGCATGTGCCTCTGTTCCAGACTTCTTTTTTCCAAGTGTTTCTATCTTTTTCTTTCCAGCCACCTGAAAAGCCTCCTAAGCCATTTATCACTACCTATGAGTTATACATATTCTAACTTCAAACTACTTCTCTTTCCACACAAAGTGAATGACTGGGTACCATCTGAAACTCTGTCCATTGGGAGGCGTTTTCCTCACTACTATTTTTCAAGATCACCGTAAGCGAGGCTATAATTTATCTTCATCCTTTTTGACTTGGACTCACATACCAAGCTGACCCATTAATGAACCAAGCTTGACATTTTTCTCCTCCATTAGAGTTGGAAGTGTTCTCTCTTGGAGGCGTAAGTGTGGTCTGAAGAAGAGATATTGATGCAAAAGTGGTGAATAGCATGAAGTCCTGGGCTACTTGCTCATACTGTTTGCCTCTGCCCTCTAGTCATGCTGTGGTCAATCCTGGATGTACTAATGCCGTGTTACAGTGATTGCTCTGTATCCACTCAACCTAATAACTTGATGGTTCAGACAGTCCCCAGCTCATATGGGTAGTTTTGCCTGCATGGTTATTTGTTGTTCCATGGTCAGATGTTATTTCTCTACCCAGAATTCAGTAAAACACCAGGGCTTTATTTTTGAAATGTATACAATCCTGTGCTGTAGATAGCAGAGTTTTATCAAAACCCTAAGAATTTTGTTATGATCTTCCCATAAACTTGCCATAAATTCCACCTCATTTATGGTGAAATTTAGACTTGCTATAGAGCCCATTCTTACCCTGAAGGCCATTCAAATACAGCACCTAGTGGATGAATTAGAACAGTACTCGATAGTGTCAAATATGCTTACTACAAAGTACAGAGAGGTCTGCCAGGCACTTTGCTTCTTTTTTATGATAGGAAATGCATAATGCAAAAATGTATCCTTTACTTTAGATAGAATGTCTCATAGTGCCCCAGACCAATAAACACTTAAAACTTTTATGCTTTAGGTCCCTGAATCTTTATGGAGTGCAACACTCACTCTCTGGATCACATGTGTCTTATCAAGGCTTTTAATGTATTGACCACTTCTTGTTCATATTGTCTGATACGCATGATGTGTTAGATATAGTTGGCCAGTGTGACGGCCTACAGAATATACAGCTAGTCCCGTTCTCTTCAGTATTTTATGATGGAAGATGAAAAACCTAGCATAGCTCTGGGACATGGTATAGTATTGTCAGCTCCAAGTGAGTGCAAACTCCCTGATCATGTTTCCTGATAAGGATGAAAAAGAAAACATTTACCAGATCAATGTATGCATACGGGGTACTCAGTAACATGCTAATATACTCTATCAAGGATAACATATCTCTTCCAGCAGATTCAATTGGGGCTACTACTTATTTCAATCTGTGGTAATTTGCTACTGTCATCCCAATATCTGTCTGATTTATTTCAGGGGTCTGACTGCTAATGCAAATGAAGATATGACAGGAAGTACCACTATTGTATACCTTAGGATTTAAAGGGGAATAGGGAAAATAAAAGCAACTTTACAACCCTGAGGATAATTTAGGATTCAACATTAAAATTGAAAAGATATAAGGAAAATCAAAAGAGGAGGCATATATATATATATATACACACACACATATGTATATCTCTTCAATGATGTTTGTGAGATTTATGCTTTTATAAGTTGTCTAAAATTACTTTTCTATTATAATTCAAGTCCAAACAATTCTATTCCTTTTAAAAGCAATTCGAAATATGTATTTGTTATATACTAACACTTCTAAAAATTTTTTTTCTTGAGACAGGGTCTTGCTTTGTTGCCCCAGCTGGAGTGCACTGGCACAATCTTGGCTCACTGTGACCTCCACCTCCCAGGCTCAAGCAATCCTCCCACCTCAGTCTTCAGAGTAGCTGACACTATAGGTATGCACCACCATGCCTGGCTAATTTTTTTTTTTTGCATTTTTAGTAGAAACAGGAGTTCATCATGTCACCCAGGCTGGTCTCAAACTCCTGAATTCAAGTAATCCTCCCACTTCAGCCTCCCAAAGTGCTAGGATTACAGTGTAAGCCACCTCACCCAGCCTATACTAATACTTTTAATTCACTGACATCATTTCTGATAAACAGTCTAAAAGAGATCACATATGGAAAGCACTTTATTCTGAATGATCTATAGTATAAGGTGACAAATTCAGAAAATATATTTAATTGTAGAAGAATGAGAAAGTATATATATGTACATATATAATGTATATATGAATTATTAATTTAAAAAAGAATGTTACATAGCTTCAAAAACTGCATATCAAGAAAATTTTATAAATTAGAAAATGATTGTTTTACATATGTCAGTTTACAATTTATAAAAATACATGATATGGCCGGGAGGTGGCTCACACTACAGGTGAGGTCCCAGCACTTTGGGAGGCCAAGGCAGGCAGATCATCTGAGGTCGGGAGTTCGAGACCAGCCTGACCAAGATGGAGAAACCCCGTCTCTACTAAAAATACAAAATTAGCCAGGCATGGTGGTGGGTGCCTGTAATCCCAGCTACTCAGGAGGCTGAGGCAGGAGAATTGCTTTAACCCAGGAGGCGGAGGTTGCAGTGAGCCGAGATCGTGCCATTACACTCCAGCATGTGCGAAAAGAGCAAGACTCCATCTCAAAACAAAAAAATGATACACAAAAGAAAAGTAAGGGGAAACAAATACATTAAAATACGAGCATGTGGCCAGGTGCCATGGCTCACACCTGTAATCCCAGCACTTTGAGAGGCCAAGGCAGGTGGATGGCCTGAACCCAGGAGTTGGAGACCAGCCTGGGCAATGTATTAAAACACCATCTCTACAAAAGATACAAAAATTAGCTGGGCTTGGTGGCGTGCACCTGTGGTACCAGCTACTCAGGCAGCTGAGGCGGGAGGATGACCTCAGCCTGGGAAGTCGAGGCTGCAGTGACCTGTGATCGCACCACTGCACTCCAGCCTGGGCCATGGGAGTGAGATCCTGTCTTAAAAACAAAACAAAACAAAACAAAACAAACAAACAATATATATCCAGGCTATATCCAGGCTGATACTAGATATTTAATTTAATTATAATTTTCTTTATTTCACTGAAAATCTTTGGTGAGCACTTATTAAGTTATACATTGCATAAATCTTCTTATTTTCAAAAACTATTCCAGTTGCAATCTCATTATTTCTACTTGTTCTGCTCCAGTGAATTAATGCTAACCTTAAACTTCAGTGTGTTAATTTATGTTAAATGACATCATATGATATAAATAATATTTTAACCACAGATCTTTGGGAGATTTAGTCCAAGCATATTCATCACAAAAAAATCAGTAAACAATAGAAATACCATTTTCCTATATACACCATCAAAAGACTCCCTATTTGACCCTGAGACCAAGTCCTACAAAACAGAATCCAAACTCCTAAGTATGGTTTGCAAAATTCCACCCAACTCCACTGCCTAGTCCCTGCCTAACCATGAACATTCTCACAATATGCTGCTAAGTGAAAAAGCAGGCTATAAAGCAATATGTACATCTTATGCTAAATGAATAAGCCAGACCTAAAAGGGCAAAAATTGTATGTTTCCAATAATATGAAATATCTGGAACATGCAAATTCATACAGACATAAGGTAGGTTGAAAGTTACTAGGGGATGGGGGAGGGGAATGGAGAGTTATCACTAAGGGTTAGAGTTTCTGTTTGGGATGACGAAAAAGTTTAGAAAATAGTGGCAAGATTTACACAATAGTATGAATATAATTAACACCATTAAATTGTACACTTAAAAATAGTTAAAATGGCAAATTTTATGTTATATATTACCACAATGTTATAAATTAGTAATGAAATATACCAAAAATCATTGACTTGTACACTTTAAATGGGTGAACTGTATTGTAAATAAATTATATCTCAATACAGCTATAAAATTTAAAAATGAAAAATAAAGAAATTTGTGGCTGTATGTTTATTTAGCCTTATGCTCTTCAAATTAATACATTCCAAACCTATTTTTCATAGTTCATGTTTTATAACTCTAATCTTCACCCTAGTTTTAGAATTTGTGAACTACCTATGTGTCAGTATTATGCCACCAGTGCAATTGGGAATAGAGTTAACTTATTGCCTCTGGGGACACAATGACCAATTAAACTTGAGGGACTCAGAATCCCTAAGGTTAAAATAAAGGACACAACATTGTGAGAATAGTAGGACTTTAATAAATACTGGCTGGTTTTATTAAAAGCCACAACCTTCTCTCTGTGACAGTGCAAATGTTACTAATGTCTATAAAATCAGCTTCTCATTGTGGAAATCCATTAGGAACCTGGCAAGGACAGCCCATGTCAGTCAAAAATATCCCGGTGACTGAAGACATTATCTGTAACACACTTTTACCTCATCTTAAGATTTTTACTTATATGTTCTTAAGGCAGTGCAAGATACATGATAATTTTATTCTCAATCTGTGGGCAAAAGGTAGTTGAGTCAGAATGGCAAAAGAGTTGAAAGCTCAAAACATCATTGCATGTATCAGTCTTTGCACCAGACTTCCTTGAAACACAACACAAAGAAAGGCATGGATATCTCTAGGACACTTAGAATAAAGGCGAGTGGTGTCTACCACAGAGAATTATGTTACCATGATTGGGAAGGGTCTTTCAAGATCATCTAACCTACATCATTACCTCTGGGTTGCATCATGTTAAGTAATCAGAATGTCCAATTTGTTTCCAGGGAACCTTGAAATAAATATCAAGTATTTTTAGTGATTCCAAAAATCCTTCTTATCCTTTGAAACTTTTGAATGAAAATTTGCTTATTATATCTCCACACATAAAAAAGTCAGTGGGAATTTTTTAATTGAAAAAGAATCAGTGGTATTTGAGGTTTCTTTTGATATATGCAGGATGCATAAATAAGAAAAGGTTTAAGATAACAGTGGAATCACCATTCTCTTGTCAAGGGATAAGTTTATTTACTGATAATGCAAAAAAAAAAAAAAAAGAATTGATAAATGAACTGGCACCAGTGCCATATAAAAGGTGAAGAGGAGTAGAGGCTGTGAAAATAATAGAATAAGAAGGAAGAGCTGCTGAGTCAATTACTGTTATCAGCTATGCCCTTCAGATAACCAAATATCTCCTACTATTGACTTGACTTTCACTTATGAGGAAACTATGTTCTCTGCACTATGCTAGAAACAAAGAAGTGACATATACATTTAATCATTTCATATCATAATATTATAAAATTACAATAAGCACTGGGATTACCAATAATAAATTATATCTCTGCTTTTTCATACACATGACAAGCTGAAATAATGACTCAATATTATGAGTAATGATTATTACTAATGATTAATGCTAATCATACTATTAATGATAACTGGCTTACATTCATTAGATCCTTCCTATGTTTCAGGCACTGTCCAAAATCTAGATGTGTATGCACTGGCTCATTGAAGTCTCACAATAATTCCCTTTTTTATAAAACAGGTTTTAAAAACAGCATGGTACTGGTACCAAAACAAATATATAGACCAATGGAACAGAACAGAGGCCTCAGAAATAACACCACACATCTACAACCATCTGATCTTCCATGAACCTGAAAAAAACAAGCAATGTGGAAAAGATTCCCTATTTAATAAATGGTGTTGGGAAAACTGGCTAGCCACATGCAGAAAACAGAAACTGGACCACTTCCTTACACTTTATACAAAAATTAACTCAAGATGGATTAAAGACTTAAACATAAAACCTAAAACCATAAAAGATTTAGAAGAAAACCTAGGCAATACCATTCAGGACATAGGCATGGACAAAGACTTCATGACTAAAACACCAAAAGCAATAGCAACAAAAGCCAAAATAGACAAATGGGATCTAATTAAACTAAAGAGCTTCTGCACAGCAAAAGAAACTATCATCAGAGTGAACAGGCAACCTACAGAATGGGAGAAAATTTTTGCAATCCATCCATCTGACAAAGGGCTAATATCCAGAGTCTACAAAGAACTTAAACAAATTTACAAGAAAAAAACAACCCCATCAAAAAGTGGGCAAAGGATATGAACAGACACTTCTCAAAAGAAGACATTTATGTAGCCAACAAACATGAAAAAAGCTCATCATCACTCATCATTAGAGAAACGCAAATCAAAACCACAATGAGATTCCATCATACGCCAGTTAGAATGGTGACCATTAAAAAGTCAGGAAACAACAGATGCTGGAGAGGATGTGGAGAAATAGGAATGCTTTTACATTGTTGGTGGGAGTGTAATTAATTCAACCATTGTGGAAGACAGGGTGGCAATTCCACAAGGATCTAGAACCAGATCCAGAAATATCATTTGACCCAGCAATCCCATTACTGGGTTTATACCCAAAGGATTATAAATCATTCTACTATAAACATGCATGTACATGTATGTTTACTGTGGCATTCCACAATGGTTGAATTAATTTACACTCCCACAAGGATCTAGAACCAGAAATATCAGCAAGCATGCCTGGCTGTGTGCAGTATCCAGGCTGGTAATGTAAGCTGAGCACAGGCTGCCAGGCTGAGTGGGCCAGTGGGCCTGAGCAAAACCCCAGCATAAGTGCCACTAGCCACAGAGGTTTTCAGCTGGTGAAGTGATAACCCAAGGATCCCGTAACATAACCATTAGAAAACATTGGACAAACCATGATTGAAGTGCATTCTGTAAGATACCTGAGCAGTACTCAGAATTATCAACATCATGAAAAACAAGATAACAGAGATTCAGGAAACTGAAACACATGACAACTAAAGGCAATGGAGTGTCCTGGATGGGATTCTGCAACAAAAAAAGGATGTTAAAGAAAATCTTGCTGAAATCCAAAGATAGTCTAGAGTTTTGGTAGTAGTAACATACCAATGTTAGTTTCTGAATTTTGAAAAATGTACCAGAGAAATGTAACATTAAGTGAAAGTGAAACTGGTTGAGGTGTATATGGGAATTCTTTGCCATCTTTGCAACTTTTCTGTAAAGCTAAAATTATGACAAAATAAAGCATGTATAAAAAATGTGTTACACAGATGGGAAGGGACAAGATGTCCAATTAGTTGCAGCCAGGAAGCACTGCTTTCACCGAGAGAGACCAAATTATTGAGTTAATCAACATAAATTGGTTGATTTAATCATCTCAGCCCAAAATCTCCTTAAGCTGATAAGCAAATTCAGCAAAGTCTCAGGATACAAAGTCAATGTGTGATCTTAGGAGAGAAAACACTGAGTGTATGGAGAAGCAAAGCTGAAGCTGAGGCTGTAGAGTCAGAAATCTGGAAACCCTGAAGTGGTACCTGAATGCCAGGGCTAGTTCCCAGCCCCAGATGGCTCCTGGGAAATTGGTGAGCCAGGGAACTGAGGGACAGCTCACTCTTGTCATGTACCTCTGGGATCCTAGCTATGAGAGACCCCATATCCCCCATAAATGTGTTAGCTGGCAGGGGTATCTCCCTGGGGAACAGGCAGAGACAGTACTTCAGACAGTGCAGAGCCTGGGAGCTTTTGTGTGCTGGGCAGCTTTGGTGGAGGGTAGCCATAGACACACATCCCTGAGAGCTTCCCATCTCCCTCTGCAAGGCTCTTGACTCAGCTGACTGTCAAGCCAAAGGAGAGCAGGGCTGGCTTCCCTATGGGACTAAGACACATCTGTTCTGCAAGCCCTCCTGCCTGCAGGCTCCTCTCAGGTCCTATGCCTAGCTGCCCTGGAGAAGCAGGTGCATTGTGCAGCTTGCACAGCCCAGCTGAATGCCTTGCTTCACCTGAGTACTTTCCCAGCAACCCAGAAGCATATCAGATCCCACAGTGCAGCCAGAGCCCAACCCTGAGCTGCAGGATG
Organism: Homo sapiens; assembly: GCF_000001405.40. Lineage (NCBI taxonomy): Eukaryota > Metazoa > Chordata > Mammalia > Primates > Hominidae > Homo > Homo sapiens. Next base: position 468,364 of record NT_167245.2, on the reverse strand, counting down.
TCCTGGTGCTACCTGGGTTTCTAAGCACAGCTTGGGATTATCAAGCCAAGATATGTGACCCACACTAAGTTAGGTGAGTTAGCTTAATAAAAAAAAAAAAAAAGAAAGAAAAGAAAAAAATTCCATCCAATATCCCTGATGAACATAGAAGGAAAAATCCTTGAGAAAATACTAATCAAACAAATCCAGCAGCACATCAAAAAGTTAATACACCACAATCAAGAAGGCTCTATTTCTGGCATGCAAGATTGGTTGAACATCTGCAAATCTACAAATGTGATTCACCACATAAACAGAATTAAAAGGAAAAGCCATATGATCATCTCAATAGATGCTGAAAAAGCTTTTGGTAAAATCCAATATCTCCCAACATACTGCAGTATGTTTACTGTGGCAGGTGTGTATGAGGGAGCAAGTGTGGGGTCCAGCTACTGCACACAGCCAGGCATGCTTGCTGCAGCAGGGCAGGCAGTTCCAGGCACTGACAGGGGTGCCATCTCCCTGCAAGTCTGCGGCTGGACCAGGTGTACTGCAAGCAGCTTCCGCACCAGGAACCACAGAACCACCCAAAAGGGTGTCACAGCCCTGGCTCAGGGAGCTCCTAGGTCTGGGCTCCCCAAAGAGTTGCATCTCTTATCTCCTTTATGTCAACCACAATGAGGTGAGGAAAGGGCATGTTTCAGCCCTGTTTGTGTGACAGCTCTTTCAGCCATGCCATTCAGTGGGTCCCAAGTTCTTGTCCCACACTCACGAGGTATGTGGATAAGTGGAGGGTGAGTAAGGTGAAGAGGAGCTTTATTGAACAATAGAACAGCTGAGAGGAAACCCGCTCCTCTCCATAGCCAGGGTGTCCTAACGAGTGTTCAGCTCTCCGCAGAGAGGAGACCCTGGAGTGGGTAGCTCCTCTCCTCAGACAGGTCATCCCACAGAGTGTTCAGGTCTCAGCAGAAAAGAGACCCTAGGGTAGGTAATTCCTCTCTGCAGCTGGTTGTCCTGACATCTTTTTGTGTCTGGCTGAGTCTGGGAATTTTTATGGACTTCAGAGGAAAGGAAGTGCTTGCTGATTGGTCCTTGGGCAGCCACGGGCAGGCTTGGAAAAAGCATCGTAAGTCCCCACTCCAGTCTGCGAGGCTGGCAGCCCGTCTCCCAGGCTTCAATCCTTCCCTGAGTTGAAGGTGGGGCCTCACCGGGGACCCGTCCCTTTCTGCCCAGGAGCCTGTGGGCCTCCTGCCACTGTTGACGGTGCCCAGGCTGTTCCTGCCAAGAGGCACCTGCAGGCCAGCGCCAAGCTGCCCTCAGCAGCACCCCCTCCAGCCTCCCTCCCTTGCTTACTGGTGCCCAAAGCCCAGAGGGGGCTGAGGTGGCAGAAGACTGGCATGTCAGTGCTGCCCCAAGTGTGGGCACACCAGGCCAGGTTGCAATAGCACCTGGGCCTGGCCTCAACCACGCTCCGAGATCAGAGCACGCACCAGGAGCAGGGAGAGATCAGACACCAGGAGCAGGCACCTCCAAGCCTGCGGGGGCAAAAAGGGCTTTCCCAGGCCCCCAAGAGTGCAGAGATGCCCGGGTCTGCCGCTGCAGCTTGGGCATCTGCAGCTGCGCCCAGGAGGGCAGGGCTCTTACTCCTGGCACCCAAGAACACAGGGATGCCCAGGTTTGTAGACACAGCTTGAGCAGCTGCAGCTGCACCAGGGAGGGTGGGGCTTCTGCCTGCTCCTGAACCCCAAGCGCACAGGGATGTCCTGTCCACAGCCGCTGCTGGGCAACTGCAGCTGAGCCTGGGGAGCACAAGGCTCTTGCCCTGTCAACTCATAAGGGGTTGGGGCTTCCGCCTGTTCCCGGCTCCAGGGGCTCCACGGAGCGCACAGCCACACCTGCATCTCCCCTACTACAGCCGGCATCACAGTCCAGATGGGTTTCAGCTGCCATCAATTACACTGGGCCTTTGAATTTTTGCAGAGGAGACCACAGAGGTAAAGTGCCCTTTTTATCCCATCAGAGCAGGGGTTACATAATATCTACATGGCATCACTGATGGTGCTGACTTTAATCACTTGGTTAAGGTAGTGTTTTCACTAAATAAAACTGAAACTTACAATTGTTACCTGTCCATACTCTATTCCTTGGAAGACAGTCACTGAGTCCAGCCTACACTTAACAAAGGAGATCATGAGCTCCACATCTGAAAGTGGGGACTATTAATAGACTAGTAAGGAAGATTTCTCCCTTCTTCTCATTTATGTATTTATTCAATCATTTATTTATAAGAGTATGGACTCATACGTTTTATACTTCAGGTTATAATCCAGTGATATGTTATTTATTTTGTTGTTGAAATTGCTCCAGCTTTACCCATTGAGAGCTCTTTCAAGTTAGCTGCTGGGTCCCTTGGACAGGTCTTCATCCTTTTGTTATCCTTTTCTCTTCAGGGCCCCTCCCTGATTTCTGGTATTACTGGTTCTTCTCCAGGCTTCTCTTATATATTTCTTCACCAGGCTTAGAAATATCTTATAATCAGACATTTCTCCAACGATCTCTGTTTCTTTTCACTGGAAAATGGCATTAGAAAACATTATCTGAGTGTGACATGTGCACATTGCTATGAGGGTAACATTGTTTCTAGGCTATTTCAGCAGAAAGGGCTAGGTAATGTGTGTCTACACAGTAAGCCCTGAATACACACATATCTGTCGTTGTTTCCTTATTTGTCCATCTGTGTGTGTCCATGTGCATTTGGGCTTGTGTTTAAACATGAGGTCATAGTGATAACTCTGACTCTAACACAGTCCCTAATGGTCATTCTGGCCTTCCTTTCTTGCTTCTCTGTAACTTCTCTTACCAACAGGGAGAAACCTGGATGCCACTGTTCATATTTTAATATTTTTGTTCAACTGGTATGCATGTGAAGCAATTACAGAATTAGCTGAACCCGCATGAGAAACAAATTTACTATTCAGAATACCATATTTATGCAAAGTTACTTTTGTCTACAGTCTGACATTTTTTAATCAAAACATTATTTCTCAAGGTAAGTTAGGCCACTTTTTACTTCTTCTCTACCCTTTTCAGTGTTGTTAGCTTACATATTTATATAAAGTGAGGTTGATTTGCCACTGTCATACCATTCTAGGATCTTCCCACATCTTGGTGATATTTTTGCTTGTTTATTTGCATGCATTTGAGTGCAATTTTGTGATACACTACTTAGGGATTAATAAATCATGGACTTGTGTATTACTAGTGCAGCACCATACAAAACAACTCCATCATTTAAAAATTCCCCTGTGTGTCTTCTTTGTAATAAACTAATCTCCCTTACACTAAGCCCTGGATACCACTGATGTGTTTCCATCCCAGTGGGTTTTTTTTCCCCAGATGTCTTATGAATGAAATCATACAATATTCAGACTTTGAAGTCTGGCTTCATTCATTTAGTAAAATACCCTTAACATATATTCATGTTGTTGCATGTATCAGTAGCTCATTCCATCCCATTGATCAATAGTATTCATTGATCAATCAACTTCCACAAAATCATAGATCATTGTGTGGAAATACCCAAGATTATCTTTCCCCTGTTGAAGGGCATGGGTTGCTTACAGTTTGGAGTAATTATGAATGAAACTGATATAAACATTTGCATGCAGATTTTTACACGGACCTAAGTTTTAATTCACTAGGGTAAATACTTAGGAATGTGATTGTTAAGTCATATGGCAAGACTATATTAAACTTTATAAAAATTGCCAAATAGTCAAAGTGGTTGCACCACTTTGCATTTCTACCAGCAATCAAAGAGAGTTTCCCTCACTTTGCATTCTTGCTAGTATTTATTATTTTCAGTGCTTTTGTTTCAGCAACAAAAAAAAATTGTGAGAATTTATTTTTAATTTTGTTATATAAGTACTTTCATAATACTCCAGTTTTGTGTCTTGGTTTACAAAGCCTTAATATTGACTACGTAGCTTTTTATAGGAAAAAATACTGGTATCTGGACTTTCATATAGATTTTCTTAAATCAGTGAGATTTCCATCAGTCAACTTAACTGTAAATCAACTATTACAAGGTTTTTTAAATGTGGGAAATCATGTCTTTGATAAGAACAGGTCAGTTTTTTCATTTTTTTCTCTAAGAATTTTTGTTTTGTGTGTGTGTGTATCTATCACTTAATGTGCATTTGAAAACTTTCTAATTAACTTTTTCTAATACAAATAATCTATGAAACTTTATTCCATTTTCTCAATACAGTTTAGAAATTACTTGAACATTTGGTTAAATGTTCTGAACCTTACTTTCAAATTACATTTTCTTACTAGACAAATGCTTAGACAGTGTGGCGATTCCTCAAGGATCTAGAACTAGAAATACCATTTGACCCAGCGATCCCATTACTGGGTATATACTCAAAGGATTATAAATCATTATACTATAAAGACACATGAACACGTATGTTTATTGTGGCACTCACAATAGCAAAGACTTGGAACCAACCCAAATGTCCATCAATAATACACTGGATAAAGAAAATGTGGCACATATACACAGTGGAATGCTATGCAGCCATAGAAAAGGATGAGTTCATGCCCTTTGCAGGGACATGGATGAAACTGGAAACCATCATTCTCAGCAAACTATCACAAGGACAGAAAACCAAACACTGCATGTTCTCATTTATAAGTGGGAGTTGAACAATGAGAACACTTGGACACAGGGTGGGGAACATCACACACCAGGGCCTGTCGGGGGGTGGGGGGCACTGGGGGAGGGATAGCATTAGGAGAAATACCTAATGTAAATGACGAGTTGATGGGTGCAGCAAATCAACATGGCACATGTATACCTATGTAACAAACCTGCACATTGTGCACATGTACCCCAGAACTTAAAGTATAATTTTAAAAAATGCTTAATTCATGCCGAATATGTTCAGTGTGATTTTTAAAGGCTTCAAGATTCAATGTTATTCATACAACCTAATTTCTATTTTATTTCTCTCTCCATGAAGAGTCTTGTAAGAGGCCAGGCACGGTGGCTCACACCTGTAATCCCAGCACTTTGGGAGGCCAAAGTGGGAGGGTCACTTGAGGTCAGGAGTTTGAGACCAGACTGGGCAACAGGGTGAAACACTGTCTCTACTAAAGATACAAGAATTAGCCAGAATTGGTGGTGCATGCTTGTAATCCCAGCTACTCGGGAAGCTGAGGTAGGAGAATCACTTGAAACCGGGAGATGGAGGTTGCAATGAGCTGAGATTGCACCACTGCACTCCAGCCTGGGCGACAGAGCAAGACTCCATCACAAAAAAGAAAAAAAAAAGTATTTTAAGAAGCATAAACAAATCAATCACCTTTGACTGAACATTGATTGGTACTTGTTCTGATTTGATCCAATTCTAAGTCCCAGCATCCATTTTATCTTCTCCAAGTATAGTAGGGAATATTCATCAACTGTTTACTCAGTTATTTGATTTGATTTCTTATCACTTAACACTTAATCCAAGGATATAAATATCCTTTTGCCCAGTGGTAAACTTGTCATCCAATCCTTGAGTTTCTTTTGCAAACACGTTAGGTTTTTCTCAAGATTGAAATGCTCATCCAAACCCAATTTTTTTTTTTTTTTTTTTTGCTGTCTTAAGTTGTTTTTTTTCCTCTTCTGACATAGTTTTAAGGCTATTTTGGCATTAGCTTCTCACTATTTAAAAGACTTCAACACATCTTCCAGTAACGGAACCCATATTCTAAACCTAGCCATGAATGTAATTCATTCTGAACTTTAAGGTGTTCTTTTTTTTTTAAAGATGACATATAAATGGCCAATAATCATATGAACAAATGCTAATCATAAGAGAACTGCAAATTAAAACCACAGTGAGATATTATGTTATGCCAGTCAAAATGGCCATTATTAAATTCAGAAAAAAAAAATTTTGCCGAGGGTATAGAGAAAAGGATTACATACACTATTGGTGGGAATGTAAATTAGTACAACCTCTGTGGAAAACAGTATGGAGACTTTTCAAAGAACTAAAAATAGAGCTACCATTCGATCCAGCAATCCCATTACTGGATATCAAGCTAAAGGTAAAGAAATCATTATATCAAAAAGAAACCTATGTGTCTATGTATATCGCAGCACTATCCACAATAGCAAAGTAATAAAATCAGCCTGAGTGTCCATCAGTGGACTATTGGATTTCTAAAATGTGGTATACATATATACACACTTTAGAATACTACTTGGCCATAAAAAGACTGAAATCATGTCTTTTGCAGCAACGTGACTGTAACTGGAGGCCATTGGCTTAAGAGAACTCAGAAACAAAAAGCCAAATGCTACATATTATCAATTATAAGTGGGAGCTAAACAATGGGTACATGTGGATATAGAGTGAAATATAGGCATTGGAGACTCCAAAAGGTGGGAGGCTGGGAAAGGGTTGAGGGATGAAAGACTACCTACTGAGGACAATGTATTTTATTTGGATGATGGATACATTGAAAAATCAGACTTCACCACTATGCAATATATCCATGGAACACAACTGCACTTCTACATTGTAAATCTGTAAAAATTCGCATTTTTCAAAAACATTCCTTTTTTTCAAAGCATCTATTTTGAACTCAAATTTCCTATACACTTAGAGGATTTAATGCCTTGTTCTAAGGGCAAGACTCCATGAAAAATAATTTATACTCTTCATACTCGTTTTTTTTTTAAGAGACAAAGTTTCACTCCCATTGCCCAGGCTGTAGTACAATGGCGTGATCTCGGCTCACTGCAACCTCTGCCTCCCAGGTTCAAGGATTATCCTGCCTCGGCCTCCCAAGTAGCTGGGATTACAGGATCTGCCACCATGCCTGGCTAATTTTTTGTATTTTTAGTAGAGACGGAATTTCACCATGTTGGCCGGGCTGGTCTCAAACTCCTGACCTCAGGTGATCCACCCGCCTCAGCCTCCCAAAGCGCTGGGATTACAGGCATGAGCCACCACACCAAGCTCATATTCTTTTTTAATCAGCCTAATTTATTAAAACATTACATTTGTCTTCAACTACAGAAGAAACTTCTCTGGTAAACTCTTTTTTTTCTCTCTACATAAAGTGGGCTTTTATAATTACAAAATCCAAATAGAGCCGCACTTACCACCATCCCCCATGTTAAGCCATAGAACTCTGATGTGAGTCTCATGTCTCCTTGCAACATTGACGTGGCCTCAATCAGCTTCTCCAGGACCTCTATAAAGTAACACCTCATAGCAGTAAGCAGGTCCTCCATAGCACCAGATCTGCCTTTGGTTGCCAAGACACTATGATTCTACAACAAACTGCAGAGAACACTAGCAGTGTTCTGCTTGGAACCTAAATCTGCACCTAGCAACCAGGACAGCACATCAGTGGGATGCCAATGTGGGAGGATAGATGGGGCTTTCTAAACATTTTCACTATTAGCGCATGAAAAATGGGAAACTACAAGGCTCTTGTTGATCCAAGGAGACTGGCCACAGAGACTGTATTCCTTCTAGGCACTAACAAGCAACCCTAAAGTATGAGAGAATTAATGTCATTTCATACATGTGCAATTCAGGAATTACTAGGAACGTGGCAGTAAAGAACTTACATGCCCATATCAATAGTCAAAGTCCTCTTAATGTAAACATGTCTTTCTGAGGTTCTGCTAGACCTAATACTATTTAAAAATTCAAAGGTTCCTCACCTCAGCATCCCATCTTGTTTTGTTTTGGGTTAGATGAGGGGGATAAGCATGAGAGAGTTGAATTATTGTCATTAAGTTATCGATTTAACTTTCAAATGTAAAAACTCATAAAGGTTGAAGGTAATTTGGGGTTTAGGTTTTTTTAACTTTTATTTTAGGTTCATGGGTATATGTGCAGGTTTGTTATACAGGTAAACTGCGCATCACAGGGGTTTGGAGTACAGATAATTTCATCATCCAGGTAATAAGCATAGTACTCAATAGGTATTTTTTCTGATCTTCTTCCTCCTCCCACCCTCCACCGTCAAGTAGACCCCAGTGCATGTGGTTCACCTTCTAGTATCCATGTGTTCTTATGTTTAGCTCCCACTTATAAGTGAGAACATGTGGTATTTGGCTCTTTTCCATTTAGTTTGCTTAGGATGATGGCCTGCAGCTCCATCCATGGTGCTGCAAAGGAAATGACCTCATTCTTTTTATGACTGCATAGTATTCCATGGGGTCTATGTACCACATTTTCTTTACCCAATCTACTGTTGATGGGCATTTAGGTTGATTTCATGTATTTGCTGTTGTGAACAGTGCTGCAATGAACATACTCGTGCATATGTCTTTATGGTAGAATGATTTATATTCCTTTGGGTATATACCCGCTAATGGGATTGCTTGGTGGAAGAGTAGTTCTGTTTTAAGTTCTTGGAGGAATCATTACACCATTTTCCACAATAGCTAAGGTAATTTACATTCCCACCAGCAGTGTATAAGCATTCCCTTTTCTCCATAACCTTGATGTATCTGTTATTAATAATTTGACTTTTTGATAATAGCCATTCCACCTGGTACGAGATGGTATCTCATTGCGGTTTTGATTTGCATTTCTCTAATGATTAATGATATTGAGCATTTTTTCATATGCTTGGCCGCATGTGTACCTTCTTTTGGAAAGTGTCTGTTCATGTCTTTTGCTGACTTTTAAACGGCATTGTTTCTTTCTTATAAATTTGTTTAAGTTCTTTCTAGATGCCAGATATTAGACCTTTGTCAAATGCATTGTATGCAGATATTTTCTCTCATTTTGTAGGTTGTCTGTTTCCACTGTTGATAGTTTCTCTTACTGTGAGACGTTCTTTAGTTTAATTAGGCTTCATTTGTCAATTTTTGTTTTTGTTGCAATTGCTTTTGGCATCTTCATGATGAAATGTTTCCCAAGTCCTATGTCCAGAATGGTATTTCCTAGGTTATCTTCCAGAGTTTTTATATTAATAGTTTTCATTTTAACATTTAAGTGTTTAATCCATCTTGAGTTGATTTTTGTATGTGGTGCAAAGTTGGCATCCAGTTTCAATCTTCTGCACAGAGCTAGTCACTTATCCCAGCACCTTTTATAAAATGGGGAGTCCTTTCCCCATTGCTTGTTTTGGTCAGCTTTGTTGAAGATCATATTTTTTTGTAGGTGTGTTGCACTATTTCTGGGTTCTCTATTTATTCTATTGGTCTATATATCTGTTTTGTTTTGTTTTTTTTTTTTCCAGTACCGTGCTGTTTTGGATACTGTAGCCCTCTAGTATAAGTTGGGTAAGGTGATGCCTCTAGCTTTTTCCTTTTTTCTTAGGATTGCCTTGGCTATTAGGGCTCTTTTTCGGTTCCATACAAATTTTAAAATAGTTTTTTTCTAATGCTGTGAACAATGTCATCGGTAGTTTGATAGGAGTTGCACTGAATCTATAAATTGCTTTGGACCAGTGTGGCCATTTTAATGATACTGAATCTTAGTATCCATGAGCATGGGATGTTTTTCCATTTGTTTGTGGCACCTCTGATTTCTTTCAGCAGTTTTTTGTAATTCTCATTGTAGAGATGTTTTACGTTCTTGGTTAGCAGAATTTCTAGGTATTTTATTCTTCTTGTGGCAGTTGTGAATGGGATGGCATTCCTGATTTAGCCCTCAGATTGAATGTTGTTGATGTATGGGAATGCTAAATTTTTGTACATTGCTTTTGTATCCTGAAACTTTTCTGAAGTTGTTTATCAGATCAAGGAGCTTTTGGACCAAGACTATGGGGTTTTCTCATACGGATTCATGTCTTTTGCAACCAGGAATAGTATAACTTCCTCTCTTCTTATTTGGATGCCTTTCATTTCTTTCTCTTGCCTGATTGCTCTGGCCAGGACTTCCAGTACTATGTTGAATAGGTGTGGTGAGAGAGGGCATCCATGTCTTATGCCGGTTTTCAAGGGGAATGCTTCCAGCTTTTTCCATTCAGTATGATGTTGGCTGTGGGTTTTTTATAGATTGCTTTTATTATTTTGAAGTATATTCCTTCAATGCCTAGTTTATTGAGGGTTTTTAACATGAAGGGATGTTGAATTTTATTGAAAGCCTTCTCTGCATGTATTGAGATAATTATGTGGTTTTTGTTTTCATTTCTGTTTATGTGATGAATCACATGTATTGATTTGCATATGTTGAACCAACCTTTCCTCTCAGGGATAAAGCCTACTTGATCATGGTAGGCTTTATCCCTGGGACGCAAGGGGTCATGGTAGGCTTTTTCTCTGCGATGCAAATGCTCACACCCTAATCTGTGGAGCCTGTGATTATATGTTACTTTACATGGCAAAAGGACTTTTATAGATGTGATTAAATTCAGAATCTTGAGATGGGGATATTATCCTGGATTAGGCAGGTAGGCTAATATAATCACCTGTGTCCATATAAGAGGGAGGCTGGAGGTCAGAGAAAAGATACTCTGCTGCTGACTTTAAAGATAGAAGAATGGGCCATGAGCCAAGGAATATAGGTCACCTCTAGAAGATAGAAAACGTGAGGAAATAGCTATTTCAACAAAAAGCTAAGAAATTGGGTTTTTATATGCTGTTGGATTTGGTTTGCTAGTATTTTGTTGAGGAGAATCAAGGTAATTTGAAAGATCTTCAAATTTCAAGGATTTACACTCCTGCCAAATGACTCCCCAAACCCATAGCCAGTCACTGTTCTTCACCATTGCCCCACTCTCAAGCACAATACAAAAACTTTCCATTTCCTGAGAGGGTAAAGAAATGTGGTGTTATAACAAAATAAATATTTGCCAACAATATTACCATCTCTTGGTGTTATCTACTCCATGCATTTCTAGTGAATTGTTCATTAGGAAACCCCATTGCTTTATTCAAAGTTTTTGTCATTTGACCTAAGATAAACAAAGTTATCTGTTCCTCCCAAAGAAAAGTGTCAGATATGTCAAGTTCATCTGAGTTTGCCAACAGTAAGAAAATATTTTAAGAAGTATGGAGACATATAAAAAAGACATATAAGCCACCCAGAAGGGATCCTCTCTAGCCAAAACACTGACCATTTCAGCATCAAAATAATGATAGAATGAAATAAGAATGCATAAGACCATATTAAGATATATGGATAGACACATAGATAAATAATACCTGATACACACACGTACACACACACACACACACACACACACACAGGAACAAAGGAAAGCTATTCCTTCATATAGAATGCCAACTCTATTAGTTTTCCATTGTTGCTAAAACAAATTACTACAAATTTGGTGTTTAAAATAACAAAAATATCTTATATATCTGGAGAAAGAAAGACTAAATTGGATCTACAGGGCTGCACATCTTCCGCAGGCTCTAGGACAGAACATGTTTCCTCAACTACTCCAGCTTCTAGAAGCAACCTGTATTCCGTGGCTCATGGCCCATTCCTCTATCTTTAAAGTCAGCAGCAGAATATCTTCTCTCTGACTAAGAATGTGGCAGGAAAGAACTTACATGCCCTCTCTCTTATATGGATATGTGTGATTATGTCAGCCCTCCTGGCTAATACAGGATAATAATCCCAACTCAAGGTTGAGAATTTAATCACATCTATAAAAACCCTTTTGCAGGCTGAAAATTCCAAAATCCAGAATGCCTCTTCTCCTCCAAAGGATCACAACTCCTCACGAGCAAGGGAACAAAACTGGATGGGGAATGAGTTTGACGAATTGACACAAGTAGGCTTCAGAAGGTGGGTAATAACAAACTCCTCCAAGCTAAAGGAGCATGTTTTAACCCAATGCAAGGAAGCTAAGAACCTTGAAGAAAAGATAGAAGACTTCCTAACTAAATTAATCAGTTTAGAGAAGAACATAAATGACCTGATGGAGCTGAAAAACAGCACGAGAACTTTGTGAAGCATACAAAGGTATCAATAGCCGAATTGATTAAGCAGAAGAAAGGATATCAGAGATTGAAATTCAACTTAATGAAATAAAGCGTGAAGACAAAATTAGAGAAAAAAGAATGAAAATGAATGAACAAAGCCTCCAAGAAATATGGGACTATGTGAAAAGACCAAACCTACGTTTGATTGGTGTACCTGAAAGTGATGGGGAGAATGGAACCAAGCTTGAAAACACTCTTCAGGATATAATCCAGGAGAATTTCCCCAACCTAGCAAGACAGGTCAACATTCAAATTCAGGAAATGCAGAGAAAAATACTAAGATATTCCTCAAGAACAGCAACCCCAAGACACATAATCATAATATTCACCAAGGTTGAAATGAAAGAAAAAAATGTTAAGGGCAGCCAGAGAGAAAGGTCACGTTACCCACAAAGGGAAGCCCATCAGACTAACAGCAGGTCTCTCAGCAAAAACCCTACAAGCGAGGGGAGAGTGAGAACGAATATTCAAAATTCTTAAAGAAAAGAATTTTCAACCCAGAATTTCATATCCAGCCAAACTAAGCTTCATAAGTGAAGGAGAAACAAAATCCTTTACAGACAAGCAAATGCTGAGAGATTTCGTCACCACCAGTCCTGCCTTACGGGAGTTCCTGAAGGAAGTACTAAATATGGAAAAGAAAAATCAGTACCAGCCACTGCAAAAACATACCAAAGAATCAATATCATGAAAATGGCCATACTGCCCAAAGTAATTTATAGATTCAGTGCTATCCCAATCAAGCTACCACTGACTTTCTTCACAGAATTAGAAAAAAACTACTTTAAATATCACATGGAACCAAAACAGAGCCCGTATAACCAAGACAATCCTAAGCAAGAAGGAGAAAGTTGGAGGCATCATGCTACCTGACTTTAAACTATACTACAAGAATACAGTAACCAAAACAGCATGGTATGTGTACCAAAACGGATATATAGACCAATGGAACAGGACAGAGGCCTCTGAAATAATGCCACACGTCTACAACCACCTGATCTTTGACAAACCAGACAAAAACAAGCAATGGGGAAAGGATTCCTTATTTAATAAATGGTGTTAGGAAAACTGGCTAGCCATATGCAGAAAACTGAAACTGGACCCCTTCCTTACACCTTACACAAAAATTAACTCAAGACAGATGAAAGACTTAAACGTAAGACCTAAAACCATAAAAACCCTAGAAGAAAACCTAGGCAATACCATTCAGGATATAGGCATGGGCAAAGACTTCATGACTAAAACACCAAAAGCAATGGCAAGAAAAGACAAAATTGACAAATGGGATCTAATTAAACTAAAGAGCTTCTGCACAGCAAAAGAAACCTTCTGGACAAGCAGCCTACAGAATGGGAGAAAATTTTTGCAATCTATCCATCTGGCAAAGGGCTAATATCCAGAGTCTACAAAGAATTTAAACAAATTTACAAGAAAAAACAACCCCATCAAAAAGTGGGCGAAGGATATGAACAGACAGTTCTCTAAAAAAGACATTGATGCAGCCAACAAACATATGAAAAAAAGCTCATTATCTCTGGTCATTAGAGAAATGTAAATCAAAACCACAATGAGATACCATCTCACACCAGTTAGAATGGTGATCATTAAAAAGTCAGGAAACAACAGATGCTGGAGAGGATGTGGAGAAATAGGAATGCTTTTACACTGTTGGTGAGAATGTAAATTAGTTCATCCATTGTGGAAGACAGTGGGGCAATTCCTCAAGGATCTAGAACCAGCAATACCATTTGACTCAGCAATCCCATTACTAGGTATATACCCAAAGGATTATAAATCATTCTACTATAAAGACACATGCACATGTATGTTTATTGCAGCACCATTCATAATAGCAAAGACTTGGAACCAACCCAAATGCCCATCAATGATAGACTGGAATAAGAAAATGTAGCACATATACACCATGGAATACTATGCAGCCATAAAAAAGAACGAGTTTATGTCCTTTGTAGGGACATGGATGAAACTGGAAACCATCATTCTCAGCAAACTAAAACAGGAACAGAAAACCAAACACTGCATGTTCTCACTCATAAGTGGGAGTTGAACAGTGAGAACACATGGACACAGGGATGGGAACATCACACAGTAGGGTCTGTTAGAAGGTGGGAGGGCTAGGGAGAGATAGCATTAGGAGAAATACCTAATGTAGATGATGAGTTGATGGGTGCAGCAAACCAGCATGGCACATGTATGCCTATGTAACAAACCTGCACATTCCGCACATGTCTTCCAGGACTTAAAATATAAAAAATAAAATTAATTTTGCCACGTAAGGTAATATATAATAACTTATCCCAGTGATTAGGTTGTGATCATTTGAGAGAAGGAGAGGAAGTATTTAGCCTGCCACACAAATTATTAAATTTGGAAGGAATGATGGAACTTTAAGAATCATTACTTGGAAACCACTATAGTAATAATTGTTTCTGGGAAGGAATATTAAGGGATGCTTACTAATAAAACTAGTGGATGAAAGCTAGTTAAAAAACAGAATGCTACCTAATCTCAACATACTTCCCCACATGACACTTATATATTACTGAGAAAAACACTAATTTTTATAGTAAAGATGCCTGGCAGATACAACATTAACCAAGTAATCAAAGCCAATATTGCCCATAACAGAATAAAGAAATATGTACATACTGATAGGATGCACTAAGGAGAACACAATCACACTTTTGTGGTATTCCTGACAGAAGTTTACAGGGAAAAAGAAGCTGATGCTTCAGTGCAGTTAGTCATCATTCCTATCTGGGAAAAAGCTGGCTTCACTGTTAGTTCTACAGTAAAATTGCTTGCCGCATAAATTCATTTCTGCTTTGGAAATCCCAGTTCACAAACGTTGACATGAGGTTTAGGCCTGACAAGGGGAGCATCTCAGGGCTTCTACTTTGCCTTCAGTGTTGTTGACATAGGAACAGGTCGTCAGAGCTAAAAATGTATTGTCCTTACCCTGATTTTTTCATATACAAGTTGCCAGAGCTTATGCAAGCACCTATCTCCTCCCTTCAGTTTGATAAAGTGAGAGAACTCATTCTTGTTGTTCTGCTGCATAAAGTTTGCTTGACTGGTTTGAAAAGTACAAAACAATAAAAACAATAATATCTGTGTTACACTTTGGGGGAATTATTAGTAACTGATCACTTTCAGATTACAAATTAAATAGCACAGGTTAATATGACTAGGATTCAATATTAGATATCCTATAATTATAACCTTGCCAAGACCACCTCGATCATGGAGATGCTAACCCAGCGGCACTAGAGGAATTAAAGACACACACACAGAAATATAGAGTATGGAGTGGGAAATCAGGGCACTCACAGCCTTCAGAGCTGAGAGCCCTGAACAGAGTTTGACCCACATATTGATTGACACGAAGCCAGTGATAAGCATTATTTCTATAGATTATAGATTAACTAAAAGTATTCCTTAAGGGAAACAAAGGGATGGGCCGAAACAAAGGGATGGGCTCTGTCTAGTTATCTGCAGCAGAAACATGTCCTTAAGGCACAGATCACTCATGCTATTGTTTGTGATTTAGGAATGCCTTTAAGCGGTTTTCTGCCCTGGGTGGGCCAGGTGTTCCTTGCCCTCATTCTGGTAAACCCACAACCTTCAGCATGGGCATCATGGCCATCACAAACATGTCACAGGGCTGCAGAGATTTTGTTTATGGCCAGTTTTGGGGCCAGTTTATGGCCAGATTTGGGGGCCTGTTCCCAACATAACCTCCCAAAAGAAAACAAAAAGTCTACACATATAAAAGAAAATGTATATATTTTGTAAGAGAAGAAGGAGAAAAGAGCCCAGAAAATTAAAAAGCCAAAAAAAATTTAAAGAGTGAGAAGTGATATCAATAAAACGGCAAAATAGGACTTTCCAGTGCCAGTTGGCCCCCTAGGTCAGACTCTGTAGTCCCAAGATCCATGCCAGTACCCAAGGGCCTAGCCTCCAGACCAGCACATATAAGCTGGGCCCCATAAACCCAGGCTCCAGACAAGCCCCTAAGGCAGCAAGTTCCACTCTAGAACCAGGCCAGTTCCAGGCTTCAGGTTGATCCCCACCACTCTAGGTTCCACTGGACCTAAAGTTCAGGCCCACACCAGTAGCTATCACCTCATACCTCACACCAGTTAGATCTATTATGAAAAACACAAAGGACAACAGGTGGTGGGAAGAATATGGAGAAAAGAGAATTCTTATACATTGTTACATTGTTTTTTGAAATGTAAATTAGGACAGCCATGAGGGAAAACACTATGAAGTTTCCTAAATAAATTTAAAATAGGGCCAGGCGCAGTGGCTTATGCCTGTAATTCCAACACTTTGGGAGGCCGAGGTCGGCAGATCACCTGAGGTCAGGAGTTTGAGACCAGCCTGGCCAACATGGTGAAATCCCATCTCTACCAGAAACAAGCAATGGGGAAAGGATTCTCTGTTTAACAAATGGTGGTGGGAAAACTGGCTAGCCATATGCAGAAAACTGATACTGGACCCCTTCCTTATACCTTAGGCAAA
Source organism: Homo sapiens (assembly GCF_000001405.40). NCBI lineage: Eukaryota > Metazoa > Chordata > Mammalia > Primates > Hominidae > Homo > Homo sapiens. The sequence continues at coordinate 451,869 of NT_167245.2, read as the reverse complement.
AATTAACTCAAGATAGCTTAAAGACTTAAATGTAGAACCCAAAACCATATAAACCCTAGAAAAGAACCTAGGCAATACCATTCAGGATATAGGCATGGGCAAAGACTTCATGACTAAAACACCAAAAGCAACGGCAACAAAAGACAAAATTGACAAATGGGATCTAATTAAACTGAAGAGCTGCTGCACAGCAAAAGAAACTACCATCAGAGTGAACAGGCAACCTACAGAATGGGACAAAATTTTTGCAATCTATGCATCTGACAAAAGTCTAATATCCAGAATATATGAGGAACTTAAACAAATTTATGAAAATAAAACAAACAACCCCATCAAAAAGTGAGCAAAGGATATAAATAGAAACTTCTCAAAAGAAGGCATTTATGGAGCCAACAAACACATGAAAAATAGCTCGTCATCACTGGTCATTCGAGAAATGCAAATCAAAACCACGAGATACCATCTCACACTAGTTAGAATGGCAATTATTAAAATGTCAGGAGACAACAGATGCTGGCGAGTCTGTGGAGAAATAGGAATGCTTTTACACTGTTGGTGGGAGAGTAAATTAGTTCATCCATTGTGGAAGACAGTGTGGCGATTCCTCAAGGATCTAGAACCAGCAATACCATTTGACCCAGCAATCCCATGAGTGCGTATATATCCAAAGGATTATAAATCATTCTACTATAAAGACACATGCACATGTATGTTTATTGCAGCACCATTTACAATAGGAAAGACTTGGAACCAACCCAAATGCCCATCAATAATAGACTGGATGAAGAAAATGTGGCACATATACACCATGGAATACTATGCAGCCATAAAAAAGAATGAGTTCATGTCCTTTGCAGGGACATGGATGAAGCTGGAAACCATTATTTTCAGCAAAATAACACAGGAACAGAAAACTAAACACTGCATGTTCTCACTCATAAGCGGTAGTTAAACAATGAGAACACATGGACACAGGGAGGGCAACATCACACACTGGGGCCTGTCACGGGTTCAGGGGGAAGGAGAGGGAGAGCATTAGGACAAATATCTAATGCATGTGGGGCTTAAAACCTAGATGACAGGTTGATAGGTGCAGCAAACCACTATGGCACATGTATACCTATGTAACAAATTTGCACATTCTGCACATGTATCCGAGAACTTAAAGTAAAATAAACATAAAAATAATGAAAAATAAAAGATTTCATAAGAACTTATACGAGAAACTACATCGGCCTTAGGGTAATTAAAGATTTGCTAGGACACACACACACACACACACACACACACACACACACACACACAAGAAATCCTGTCTCTACTAAAAATACAGAAATTAGCTGGGCGTGGTGGTGCTTACCTGTAGTCCCAGCTACTCTGGAGGCTGAGGCAAGACAATCGCTAGAACCCAGGAGGTGGGAGTTGCAGTAAGCCGAGATCCCACCACTGCACTCCAGCCTGGGCGACAGAGCGAGACTCTGTCTCAAAAAATTAATTAATTAATTAATTAATAATAAATAAAAATAGAACTGCCATATGATCCATCAATCACACTTCTGGGTTTATATCCAAAAGAATTAAATCACTATGTTGAAGAGCTATCTCCACTTCCATGAATATGGCAGCAAATTCATAATAGCCAAAGTATTGAATCAATCTAAGAGTCAATCAATGAATGAGTGAATTTAAAAAGTGTAGTTTATATACAATAGAATACTATTCTGCCTTAAAATAAGAAGGAAGTCCTAATATTTTCAAACACATGGCAAACCTGAGGACACTTTGCTAAGTAAAATGAGCCAGGCACAGAAAAATAAATACTGCACGATCTAATGTGTGAAATCTACATAAAATGAACTCATAGAAGCACAAAGTAGTAGAATGAGGCTTGTCAGGGGTTAGCAGTGGAGGGAGGGAAAATGGGGAGATGCTGGTCAAAGGGTACAAAGTTTCAGTTAGAAGGAATAAATTCAAGAGATCTATTCTATAGTATGGTGACTATAGTTAATAAAACTGTACTGCATACTTGAAAATTGCTAAGATAACAGATCCTAAATGTTCTCACCACAAAACAGGTAAGTATGTGAGTTAATGATTTGTTAATTAGCTTGAATAATAATTGCATAATTATACATATATCAAAACTTTATGCTGTATATCATAAATAAATACAACTTTTCACTTAATAAAGATGGAGAGGATATTTGAGTAGGTGAGAAACCAGGATGCTACAGGAAGTGTTACAAATCGTAAGATTTCCATAGTAGGAAATAGTTCAAAGAGCTAAGCTATGTTCTTTAAGTTTTAAAAAATTTGTTTTTATGTGATGTTTTACCCTAAGTGGTCTCAATTGTTTACTAAAAGTTATTTTACATACACTATTCTTGGTTCTTCATTTCTTGGGTAAGCTTAAGGACAAGGGCAAATGACTCATATTTTTCATGCCTAGTTAGAAATAAAGGAAGAGTCACAGATGCAGAAAGAAGATAAAGTCAGCAGAATCAATGCAATTGCAAGTCACACTAGAAATTGGAGGGAAGTTCCGAGATGCATTTTTATTTTTATAATTTAGGAAATAGTGTGTGAATCAATCACATCCAAATCTCACAGGCCTCAAAAGCTACAGCTGACATTCCAGTTATAGAGAAAACTCAGGCATTGCAAGTACGTTACATTATACTGAATTCTCCTTTAGTCATTTTTCCACATCATTTGACTACGACTGTCAGTTTAAATTGCTCTAGGTATAACGCAATTATTTCAGATGAAGATGGTTGACAATAATATATAGAACAAAATGATAACTTCTATAAAATATATTTATTTGAAACCATATATTGATATTCCTAATATACTTATTAACTATAAATATTCAAATTAGAACAAGCTTAAAAATAAAAATAAACTAACATTTTCCATATAACAGCTTTTATCATAAAAATTTTCCAGTATATTTAAACATAATTCTTTTATACACCCATTGACTTCAAGTCATTTTCAGAGCCTCTCTATTTGCCTCAAATGTTCTCCATAGCTCTTTAGGTAATGCAGTTGCTCCAAGCACTTACCTCACCTAAGTATACCTAGACGGTGATGACCATTTCTTTATAAGCTACATAGGTCAGCTTTACCAGCTCCTTTCACCTCCAATATCCTTCTCACTGCCTTGTAAAAAAGAGGGATCTTGGACGCCGACTTCTGCTACACTGCTTCAACATCTCTCTTGCTACAATTTATAAAACTTATTGTCTTACTATTGATATTGGATATCAAAGAATATGGACCAAAATTCCTCTCAAAATTTACATCCAACAAAAAATAAGTAGTGTTGGAGGAAAGGATTTGAAGTATTTTGCTGTGTATTCAACTAAACTAAAGATAGAAGACAAAAGTATTCTGCCTAAACAGCAAAAAATTAAAAGACATATTCTAGATATTTTAAAATTGAGAGTATCATCTTTTCATAGGAATTATAACTTCACTTTTATCAATATTTACAACAAATTTCATGCCTTATTTTTAATCAGGAAAAGTCTTTCTTGTATTCATTAGGTTTGTGCCATGGAAAAACATCACTATAGATGTTTTATCTTGATTTTACACAGCTGTTTTCTCCAAAAGTGAATGGTATTTAAGCTGAATGTGTTTTATTCCTACCTGTTACCAGGATCTCCACGACTTTGTTAGAGTACATGCTCAGCAAGTGCTAACAGAGTGAGTGAATAAAAGAATGGTTGATAAATGAACAGATGGATGAATCATTGTGAGGAAAGACTCCATTATATTGTTAATATCACACAAACACAGGCTCACTCCCACCCCCTTAGTCTCTTCACTACCCCTCTTACATCTTTGTTTCTGAGGGTGTAGATTAGAGGGTTAAGACTAGGTGTAACAACAGTATAAAAGAGAGCAATGAACTTGCCTTGATCTTGAGAATTCCCTGATGGTGGCTGGAGATACATGCACATGGCCGGAATGAAAAAGAGAGATACAACCATATGATGAGCTCCACATGTTCCAAATACTTTCTGAAGCCCAGTGGTTGACTGCATCCTCAGTACAGCCTGGGCAATAGCACCATAGGAAGTGAAAATGAGGGTGAGAAGTAGCAGAACAAAAATGGAGCTTGTGATCATGAGGGTCAGTTTATTTTCACGGGTATTGACAAATGATAATCATAAAAGTGCCGGAACTTCACAGAAAAAGTGATCTATTTGGCGGTGTCCACACAGAGGTACCCAGAAGGTGAAGGAGGAATGAAGTGCTGGGTTTGTAAAACCACTTACCCAAGAAGCCACAGCCAACAAGTGGCAGAAACGAGAGTGCATGAGGACAGTGTAATGCAAAGGTCTACACACAGCTGCATAACGGTCATAGGACATCACCACCAGTAGGACACACTCTGTGGTTCCCAGTGTGAGAAAAAAGTAAAGTTGAACCATGCAACCAGCATAAGAAATGGTCTTTTCCACACCCCAGAGACTGACCAGCAACTGAGGGATAGAGCTGGTGGTGTAGCAGAGATCCAGAAATGAGAGATTTGAAAGGAAGAAATACAAGGGAGTATGGAGATGGGAGTCCAGGTACGTCAGGATGATGATGAACAGGTTTCCTATCAGTGTCATCAAGCAGAAGATCAAAATAACCACAAAGAGAACTACTTCCAGATAAGGCCAATTAGAAAATCCAACTAAAATAAAGTACCCCTCAGAGCTAGCATTGACTTTTCCATCATCATTCATTTCCTATTACCTGAGAGAAAAAAAAAATCAGGTAAACTCAAAAAGCAGTAAACAAATGCTCCAAAAAACATCAGGATACGTAAAAAAAATAAAATCCAGTTTGAAGGGCTTGCCATCATTTAATTGTAGGACAATTTAACCATTAGTAGTAATGAACTTAACAAAAGAAGAATTATAAAGCTCGTACTGATATAAAAAGTAAGAGTAAATAAATGAATGGTGAAGAAAAAGCCATTCCTAACAGTAGATCCCTAATTAATAAACATAGAAGGGATGATGGTGTTAAGAAAAACATAAATGATTGCAAAACTAGTGGATAAAAATTTGATGGGGAACAGGACATGTACATAGTCTAAAATATCTCCTCACAACTTTCTTGTTAATTTCAAACTGAAAAACAGTGAAGTTTACAGTAGAAAAACCTGGCAGACACCAACATAACCAAGTGATTTTATTGATCTTAAGATCACCTGTATTTGTACAAACCAACATCATGAGACTGCTGAGATGCTGCTCTGAACAGGGCATGATGTCACCTCAGTGATATTTATGTTAAAAATACACAGACTAATTCTAATAATGAAGACACATGAGAAAAACTCTAATTGAGAGAAATAGTTTGCCTGTACAATTCAAAAGTATCAAGTTTAAGTAGACAAACAAAGGCGGTGGCACTGGTCCAGATGGAAGGAGACTAGTGAGATGTGATTTCTCAGTGTATCATCTGGGATTTTTTTAAAAAGTGGCTATTAACAAAATTATTGGGACTATTTAAGAAATCTCACTGTGGACTATGGATTAGATAATAATATTGTGCCCATATTAAATTTGCTGATTTGGGTACTGTGCAGGACTTATGTAAAATAACATCCTTCTTCTTAGACAAGAAACATTGAATAAAATATTTGGTGTAAATGTCTTGAATGGGCTAAATGCTCCAATTAAAAGACACAGACTGGCAAATTGGATAAAGGGTCAAGACCCATCAGTGTGCTGTATTCAGGAAACCCATCTCACATGCAGAGACACACATAGGTTCAAGATAAAGGGATGGAGGAAGATCTACCAAGCAAATGGAAAACAAAAAAAGGGAGGGGTTGCAATCCTAGTCTCTGATAAAATAGACTTTAAACCAACAAAGATCAAAAGAGACAAAGAAGGCCATTACATAATGGTAAAGGGATCAATTCAACAAGAAGAGCTAACTATCCTAAATATACATGCACCCAATACAAGAGCACCCAGATTCATACAACAAGTCCTTAGAGACCTACAAAGAGACTTAGACTCCCACACAATAATAATGGGAGACTTTAACACCCCACTGTCAACAATAGACAGATCAACAAGACAGAAAGTTAACAAGGATATCCAGGAATTGAACTCAGCTCTGCACCAAGCGGTCCTAATAGACATCTACAGAACTCTCCACCCCAAATCAACAGAATATACATTCTTCTCAGTACCACATCACACTTATTCCAAAATTGACCACATAGCTGGAAGAAAAGCACTCCTCAGCAAATGTAAAAGAACAGAAATTATAACAAACTGTCTCTCAGACCACAGTGCCATCAAACTACAACTCAGGATTAAGAAACTCACTCAAAACCACTCAACTACATGGAAACTGAACAACCTGCTCCTGAATGACTACTGGTACATAACGAAATGAAGGCAGAAATAAAGATGTTCTTTGAAACCAGCGAGAACAAAGATACAACATACCAGAATCTCTGGGACACATTTAAAGCAGTGTGTAGAGGGAAATTTATAACACTGAATGTCCACAAGAGAAAGCAGGAAAGATCTAAAACTGACACCCTAACATCATAATTAAAAGAACTAGAGAAGTAAGAGCAAACACATTCAAAAGCTAGCAGAAGGCAAGAAATAACTAAGATCAGAGCAGAACTGAAGGAGATAGACACACAAAAAACCATTCAAAAAATCAATGAATCCAGGAGCTGGTTTTTTGAAAGATCAACAAAATTGATAGACTGCTAGCAAGACTAATAAAGAAGAAAAGAGAGAAGAATCAAATAGACACAACAAAAAATGATAAAGGGGATATCACCACCGATCCCACAGAAACACAAACTACCATCAGAGAATACTATAAACACCTCTATGCAAATAAACTAGAAAATCTAGAAGAAATGGATAAATTCCTCGACACATACACCCTCCCAAGACTAAACCAGGAAGAAGTTGAATCTCTGAATAGACCAAATAACAGGCTCTGAAATTGAGGCAATAATTAGTAGCTTACCAACCAAAAAAAAGTCCAGGACCAGACGGATTCACAGCCGAATTCTACCAGAGGTACAAGGAGGAGCTGGTACCATTCCTTCTGAAACTACTCCAATCAATAGAAAAAGAGGGAATCCTCCCTAACTCATTTTATGAGGCCAGCATCATCCTGATACCAAAGCCTGGCAGAGACACAACAAAAAAAGAATTTTAGACCAACATCCCTGATGAACCTCGATGCAAAAATCCTCAATAAAATACTGGCAAACCGAATCCAGCAGCACATCAAAAAGCTTATTCACCATGATCAAGTGGGCTTCATCCCTGGGATGCAAGCCTGGTTCAACGTACGCAAATCAATAAACATAATCCAGCAGAACAAAAGACAAAAACCACATGATTATCTCAATAGATGCAGAAAAGGGCTTTGACAAAATTCAACAGCCCTTCATGCTAAAAACTCTCAATAAACTAGGTATTGATGGAACGTATCTCAAAATAATAAGAGCTATTTATGACAAAACCACAGCCAATATCATACTGAATGGGCAAAAACTGGAAGCATTCCCTTTGATAACTGGCACAAGACAGGGATGCCCTCTCTCACCACTCCTATTCAACATAGTGTTGGAAGTTCTGGCCAGGGCAATCAGGCAGGAGAAAGAAATAAAGGGTATTCAATTAGGAAAAGAGGAAGTCAAATTGTCCCTGTTTGCAGATGACATGATTGTATATCTAGAAAACCCCATCATCTCAGCCCAAAATCTCCTTAAGTTGATAAGCAACTTCAGCAAAGGCTCAGGATACAAAATCAATGTGCGAAAATCACAAACATTCTTATACACCAATAACAGGCAAACAGAGAGCCAAATCATGAGTGAACTCCCATTCACAATTGCTTCAAAGAGAATCAAATACCTAGGAATCCAACTTACAAGGGATGTGAAGGACCTCTTCAAGGAGAACTACAAACCACTGCTCAATGAAATAAAAGAGGATACAAACAAATGGAAGAACATTCCATGCTCATGGATAGGAAGAATCAATATCGCGAAAATGGCCATACTGCCCAAGGTAATTTATAGATTCGGTGCGATCCCCATCAAGCTACCAATGACTTTCTTCACAGAATTGGAAAAAACTGCTTTAAAGTTCATATGGAACCAAAAAAGAGCCCGCATTGCCAAGCCAATCCTAACCCAAAAGAACAAAGCTGGAGGCATCACGCTACCTGACTTCAAACTATACTACAAGGCTACAGTAACCAAAACAGCATGGTACTGGTACCAAAACAGAGATATAGACCAATGGAACAGAATACAGCCCTCAGAAATAATACCACACATCTACAAGTATCTGATCTTTGACAAACCTGAAAAAAACAAGAAATGGGGAAAGGATTCCCTATTTAACAAATGCTGCTGGGAAAACTGGCTAGCTATATGTAGAAAGCCGAAACTGGATCCCTTCCTTACACCTTATACAAAAATTAATTCAAGATGGATTAAAGACTTCAATGTTAGACCTAAAACCATAAAAACCCTAGAACAAAACCTAGTCAATACCATTCAGGACATAGGCATGGGCAAGGACTTCATGTCTAAAACACCAAAAGCAATGGCAACAAAAGCCAAAATTGACAAATGGGATCTAATTAAACTAAAGAGTTTCTGCACAGCAAAAGAAACTACCATCAGAGTGAATAGGCAACCTACAGAATGGGAGAAAATTTTTGCAAGCTACTCATCTGACAAAGGGCTAATATCCAGAATCTACAATGAACTCAAACAAATTTACAAGAAAAGAACAAACAGCCCCATCAAAAAGTGGACGAAGGACATGAACAGACACTTCTCAAAAGAAGACATTTATGCAGCCAAAAAACACATGAAAAGATGCTCACCATCACTGGCCATCAGAGAAATGCAAATCAAAACCACAATGAGATACCACCTCACACCAGTTAGAATGGCAATCATTAAAAAGTCAGGAAACAACAGGTGCTGGACAGGATGTGGAGAAATAGGAACACTTTTACACTGTTGGTGGGACTGTAAACTAGTTCAACCATTGTGGAAGTCAGTGTGGTGATTCCTCAGGGATCTAGAACTAGAAATACCATTTGACCCAGCCATCCCATTACTGGGTATATACCCAAAGGATTATAAATCATGCTGCTAGAAAGACACATGCACACGTATGTTTATTACGGCACTATTCACAACAGCAAAGACTTGGAACCAACCCAAATGTCCAACAATGATAGAGTGGATTAAGAAAATGTGGCACATATACACCATGGAATACTATGCAGCCATAAAAAATGATGAGTTCATGTCCATGTAGGGACATGGATGAAGCTGGAAACCATCATTCTCAGCAAACTATCCCAAGGACAAAAAACCAAACACCGCATGTTCTCACTCATGAGTGGGAATTGAGCAATGAGAACATTTGGACACAGGAAGGGGAACATCACACACCGGGGCCTGTTGTGTGGTGGGGGGAGGGATAGCATGAGGAGATATACCTAATGTAAATGACGAGTTAATGGGTGCAGCACAGCAACATGGCACATGTATACATATGTAATAAACCTGCAGGTTGTGCACAAGTACCGTAGAACTTAAAGTATAATAATAATAATTATAATAAAAGAACATTATAGCATTAAGAAAAGGAAGAAACCACAATGTTAATGAACAATAGATAGTATTAACCACGCACACATTTTTAGACTTTTAACATCACAAATTGTAACAAACCAAAATAAGAGGCAATGAACTAAGAAAATACATATGAATTTGTATAACCTTGGAACACAAAAGTTTATACAACTTAATATGAAACTGAAACTCCAATACAGTTATGTACATAGAATGCAGACAAATAATTAACACAAAATAGAAAATTTAAAAGGAATAAAAATGACCTAATAATTAAAAAAAAAAGTACTTGGTGTAAAGGTACGTGGCATCTCCAACTTACTCTCAGCTAGTGCAGAAAAAGAGATAGATGATAGATAGATAGATAGATAGATAGATAGATAGATAGATAGATATAATAGATGATAGAGATATAGATAGATAGATAGATAGATAGATAGATAGATAGATGATATAACAAAGCTTTGGGGGAAAATGTAAACTAATGCTTAATCTGGTTATAGGGTAAATGTCAGTCTTTGTACTACTTTTTTGCAATTCTTCTCTAAGTTTGAAATTTTACCATAATAAAAAGTCACAAAAAATAGAAAACAATTTTTTAATTTTATATTTTATTCATATATTTGCCTTATAGAAGAATAACTATCGAGTTCTTCCCATTCATTTTATGGTGACTTCTAGGTAAATGGTAATTGAAAGAAATTTCTAACCTAGCTAAGGAAGATAATTTCCATAAAACACAAAATTTTTCTTTGTTAATGAATAAGGAACTTTTCTTTTCAGCATTTTCAGGTTATTTTCAAAAATGTGATTATAGAAAACATAACAATTGCAATCCCAATAATTTTACATACGGATGAAATAATATGTTGAAAATATTGAATTTAGTAGTGATTTCAAAATGTTCATGTAAAGTGAAAAAAAAGTTAAGCTTCAATGGGACTACAGGCATGTGCCACCATGCCTAGCTAATTGTTTTGTATTTTTAGTAGAGATGGGGTTTCACCTTGTTAGCCAGGATGGTCTTGGTCTCCTGACCTCATGATCCACCTGACTCGGCCTTCCAAAGTGCTGGGATTACAGGTGTGAGCCACCGTGCTCGGCCTTGTTTTTGATTTTTAAAAAGTGAAAGATTTATACAATCTGAAGAGTAATCAGAGTTTATTGTTTCTGACTTTTAAAAGCTGTCTTAATGTATTAGCATTACCCCCAGTGACAAATTAAGCCATGCACAGATACTTCATCTTTTATGTTGCCATTTTTCCTGACAGAGAGTGTGTTCTGTTCAGACAGAGTATGTTATATTTATACACGTTACCAAGAATTTCACAAACTGGAAGAGAGTACACATTCAATAAGATTTAGCTAATAAAGAATAAGTTAATGAATAAATGGACAGATGAACGAAAGAGCCATTTTAAAGAGATATTAGTTTACTGTTCAATGTGACAAGTATGTAGACCTACAGGATAAATTAGATAATTTAGTGTCTTTAAAAAGTGTCTTTCAACCAAATACTTATGATATATCCTTTACCATATCTTAAACAATGTTATTCATTATGTTTACCATTTTTCTTTGCTGTGACTATTTTTAGCTTCATTTAAGGTTTATTCAATAACCAAAAACCTTTTTAGCCTAAGTCTTTGCAATATTGCCCTTCTCTTTCTGTATATATCATCAGTTCATAATTTAGCACATTGTTAGAAATATTCCCAACATTTTTGAAATAATCTCCTCATAACTATTCGCATGCACATTTATTTACGTTGAAACCACAGTCCACAATTTTCACAGAAATAAAATATACAATTGTAAAAGAACAAAGTGGCACTAATCAGAAACTTTATCTCAACATAATATTTCAGAACTAAATAATAAAAAGAGCAACAAATGTGATACTGAACTATTCTGTTTTGTGAGCTGTTAGAACAAAAATAAATCACAAAGAAGCAGGGAAACCACCTTTCAAGATGGCTAAGACCCTAGGAAAAACAATGACAACAGACAACATGATTTCCCTGTCACTTCCCCCACTCCCACCCCAATAGTCTCTTCGCTGCCCCTTTTACATGCTTGTTTCTGAGAGTGTAGATTAGAGGATTAAGACTCGGTGTGACAACAGTATAAAAGAGGGCAATGAACTTGCCCTGATCAGGAGAATTTTCTGATGGTGGCTGGAGATACATGCACATGACTGGAATGAAAAAGAGAGATACAACCATAAGATGGGCTCCACATGTCCTAAACACTTTCTGAAGCCCAGTGGTTGATTGCATGCTCAGTACAGCCCGGGCAATGGCACCATAGGCAGTGAGAATCAGAATGAGAGGTATGAGAACAAAAATGGAGCTCATGACCATGAGGGTCAGCTCATTTGCATGGGTGTCAACACATGATAAACGCAGAAGTGCTGGAACTTCACAGAAGAAGTGATCCACTAGGCGATGTCCACAAAGGGGTACCCAGAAAGTAAAGGAGGAATGAAGTGCTGAGATAGTAAAACCAATTACCCAAGAAGCCGCAGCCAACAAGTGGCAGAAACGAGGGTGCATGAGGACAGTGTAATGCAAAGGTCTACACACAGCTACATAACGATCATACGACATCACCACCAGTAGGACACACTCTGCGATTCCCAGTGCAAGAACAAAGTAAAGTTGAACCATGCAACCAGCATACGAGATGGTCTTTTCCGGGCCCCGGAGATTCACCAGCAACTGAGGGATAGAGCTGGTGGTGTGGCAGAGATCCAGAAATGAGAGGTTTGAAAGGAAGAAGTACATTGGTGTGTGGAGATGGGAGTCCACGTATGACAGGATGATGATGAACAGGTTTCCTGTCAGTGTCATCAGGTAGAAGATCAAGATAACCACAAAGAGAACTACTTCCAGCTGAGGCCAATTAGAAAATCCAAGTAGAATAAAGAAGTCTTCCGAACTTGCATTTTTTTTAATCATCATTCATCTTTTTCTTATACCTAAAGAAAGAACCACATAAACTCAAAGTCTGTCCATGCATTGTCAACCGCTCACTTGCAAACAGATTGAAGACAAAAGTATCCCACTTCCAGAGAGTGTGCACCATAATGGTAGTAGAATTTTTATACAGTTCCCTTTATATGCTTCATTGAGATATTTATCCAGCTACAGATACAAGCAATAGCTTCTCAAGTTACTGAGTTCTTTATATACATCCCTGAATTAACATTTGGATTAATGAAGACTAAGATAGTCCATAATCAGGAACACAATATTTATGAAAAATGATTTTTTACTTTAAAAAGTCAAATTATTTTTATATTTTCAGGCTATTTCCAATTTTGCAATTACAGAGAAAGGAATAACAGCAGTCTTACTGATCTTACTTATAGATAGGAATTTCCCATATTAAAAAGCAATTAGATAGTCACTTTAAAATATTAACTGAAAAGAAATAATTGAATATGATTATAGAAAGAATCAAATGCTATTTATGCTAGCAGTTTATTTCTAGACAAATAAAATAATGCACAAATCAAAGTTTAAAGAGAATATGCACGCACACACCAACTTATAAAAATTCACAATATACACAAAGCTGATTAATACAGCAAAATAGAGTGATCGGTGATAGAATGCTTCCAAAGGTAAATGAGACTATATTACTGGAAGACATAAAGATTACAGAGTCTAACAAAAACATAGGTTGGTAAGAGAGAAATGGAGAGTGTTTGGATGCACAACAGTGAAGAGAGGTCTGAATGTGGTATGCGAAGTTGAAAGAATGTATAACAAGTTTGTTAGACAAGGACAAGAAGACTTAAACATGGTTTCTACAAAACTGTATATGCTTTAGGCCAATAACTGAACTATACTTTAAATTCTGAGTCACAATTTATAATTTGTATTTTCTGGGTTTTCCACAATTTTTAATGGAGCTTCTGAACAGACATTAACTAATATTAGTAGAAAGATACGTGAACATTGTATAAAATCCAGAAAATTCACCTTGTAGTTATTTTTTTAAAATGAAGAAATTCAAATATGCTTTGATAGCTTGATTTTCAGTTGCTTATTTTCTCTTGCACATTACCAATCTTGCATGAGAAAGATAAACACTCTTTTATGATATAGTTTTTGCAATAAAATACAGGAACCCAGCATTTCAATATTCCTAAATAGTTTTGCCATCCCCCTTCTGCTCCCCTCCTGCCACAGCCAACTCTTCCTCTTATACTCTCTGATAAATTTGGCAAAAGAGGCCAGGCGTGGTGGCTCATGCCTGTAATCTCAGCATTTTGGGAGGCCGAGGCAGGTGGAACACCTGAGGTCAGGAGTTCGAGACCAGCCTGACCAACGTGGTGAAACACCATCTCTACTAAAAAATACAAAAATTAGCCAGGCAGGCATGGTAGTGGGCACCTGTAATACCAGCTACTCTGGAGGCTGAGGCAGGAGAATCGCTTGAACCCAGGAGGCGGAGGTTGCAGTGAGCTGAGATCATGCCATTGCCCTCCAGCCTGGGTGACAGAGCAAGACTCTGTCTCAAAAAACTAATATCTACACCCGACTCACCTTCAGTGTTTTGAAAAACTTTTAATAACTCAAATATTGTAATCTTGACTCTTGAAAAAGATGTAAGGAGTTGCCTAACTGGTTGAGTTACAGCTGGAGAGCTAGGAACATTGAACTTGGGCCAAATCTGTGCAAATGCTCCAGACTGGTACAAAGATACTGTACATTTTTCCATATTGTTGGTAATGGAATGAGCATTAACCTTTTGAGAAATCATGGGAAAATTCCAAGGATTTTTTTAAATCTCCCTAAGATGAAAGGTAATATGCCATAAGATACTTGAACTCAAATGCTGTGGATACTTTTGCTGATGCCGACCTAATTTTCTTTCCTAATGCAGCTGCCTGAGTTCCTTATTACAGTAATTAAAAGGTGGAATCTGATAACTATCTGTTATATGACCCATCTTTCAGCATTCCTCCGGAGTTGATAAAAGGGATAGGAAATAAGGGACAAAAAAACCCCCAGAACTCATGTAGAGAAAAGTCTCAGCTTCAATTTTCTTCTTGGTGGAAAAGAGGGAAATGAAGACCCTATCAAATGTAGCTTTTATGAGTTGTAGAATAAAATATCTTCTCTCTTTTTTTAAATCAAATACTATAGGGAAAATGGATGGCTGAGTGTCTCTTCCTTCCCCAATTATTATTAAGAGACATTATGCCAATTTGTGTCACATCCATTCCTTTATACTATATCTGGTTTGTTTTCTTAATTTTTCATTGACTAGTAATAATTGTATATATTTATGGAGTACACTGTAATGTTTTGATGTATATATACATTATAGAATGATTATATTAAGCTAGTTAACATATCCATCACCCCACAACCATCATATTTTTGTAGTAAGAACATTTAAAATCTACACTTTCTGCAATTTTGAAATATGGAAGCTGTCTACCCCTTAAGAAGTGCACCAACTTCTTTCAGTACTGACCTTCCTGTGTTTGTCCCTGTTCCCTGTCACTCTCTACCTGGCCTACAACCTCATCAGGTATAAACTGATGAAGGGGCTCTCTGGTTGCCATACAACCTAAAAACATCAACCTAATTGCCTTCTTATAACATTTTTGCCAATGTTTTAAATCTAACTATGAAGAACAGAGTCTGGAAATAACTGTGATTGTCATTGCTACAGAAAAGAGAGCCTGAGTTTGTCCAAAAGATCTGCTTTTTAGCAGAATGTGGGAATACTTTAGGGCATTCAAGGTATCACGGGATGGACCCTTTATCCCAGAGCAAATGTAATCTTTATGGAAACAAAAAGAATAACGGGATACTCTTTCATTGACTGCAGCCTTTGGGAGTATAAATCCCAAAGCTGCAATTAATGCCCTTCAAGGAGTTGTCCTGGTATGATGTTCTCAGTACAAAACTCTTCACAGAAATATCTTCAGCATGATGTTATACTCTTACTGAGATGACAGTGAATTTGTCACCAACAAACATGGGAAAAGATGCTGTGAGTAACATTTACAATGAAAGGAAGAGGTTTTACTGAGCCGTCCGATTTTTTTTTTCAGTTTCCCGTGGGGCTAAGGCTCAAATGTACAAGACAACTGGAAAAAAAGGAGAGATTTGAGAGTCATTCAACAGAAAAACTAGAATACATAAAGACTAAACTGCATATCTGTTCCTTATTAATGAGGGGCTCTTTGAGACTGACCTATATTATTTATGCCTTCCCAGTTGTCTTTTAAATTCAATTCCAAGATTTTTCCTGCAAAATGTTAAAAAAATCTTAAATATTACTCCAATCTTTTATTATTTTAATTGACAAATAATTTTATATATTGATTAGATACAATGTGATCTTTTGATATATGTATATGTGCAATATGGAATGATTAAGTCCAGCTAACACAGTCATCACCTCACATACTTATTTTTCTTATAGTGAGAACATTTAAATCTACTTGTTTAAAATCCCCCCTTTCTCCATCCCCTGCCCCCCAGGTAGCTATCATTCTACTCTCCACTTGTATGAGTTTATCTTTTTTAGATTCCACATAAGAGTGAGATCATGTGGTATTTGTCCTTCTGTGTCTGGCTTCTTTCACTTCGCATAATGTCCTGCAGGTTCATGAATGTTGTTGTAAAGACAGAATTTCCCTTTTTTCTTTAAGGCTGAATAGTATTCCATTTTATATAGATAATGTGGTTCATATATATCACATTATATCCCTTTTATATATTTATCTGTTTATCCGTTGATGGACATTTAGGTTCCTTTCATACCTCAGCTATTGTGAAAAATGCTACAATGAACATGGTAGTGCAGATATCTGTAGTGAATTCTTATGAGTTTATGTTACCTCAGCGTTCATTTTCAATATATAATTGAACTTCCTCATGCCAGAAGCAGGACTTAGTCACCCTTATCACAATTTTGAGTTCTCCTCTCCCAGTTTCTTCAGGTGGTCAATCCAGATATTTGGCCTCTTGGTTACCACCTCCGTGTGGGACACCTAGATACAACCTACTTGACTTATCCCACTGATCCCCACACCCCACATGGACTGCAGATTTGCAGCAGTGAACACCTCTCAATACAACTTAACTCCCAAGAAATCATGCCTGCTTGCTCTAAACCCAGCAATCAGTTACTCCCTGCTTGGATAATGCTGTGTACTCCAATAAGGGCTTTGGCTTTCTGGTCTGTCACTCACTCTCTCTCGCTACCCACCCACTGGTTGCACATGCATGTCTCTAAGGGATGCCCTTTCTCCCATTAGGCCTGTGAGGCAAGTTGCCCTCTTCTCTCTGGAATCTTTAAGTAATAAAACTACTTATACTATTTTTTTTTATGTGTCTTCTTGGCGTCTCACCTGACACACCTAAAATTAATTTTTTTTTCTGGACAAGGCTCCCTTAGAGAGTGGCAATCTTGGTAGGAATGAACTGGACACACTAGTCAGACAAAAGCCACAATGGTGTCTGCCAGTGAAAACAAGTTTCCAGTGAGAGGGACACCTGGTCATAAATAGGACAATTAGGCATTAGCTCTCCATCAGGATAAGGAAGTATTCCATGAAAAGAACACCGAAAACATCCACAACCACAACCACCTCCACTGGAGCCCATCAGAGCCAGGCTAGAGTTTCTAGCCACTCTTCAAAGAGAGACGTTAAAACCAAATTAGAGGAAAATCTACCCATTTTTTTTTTTTTTGAGATGGAGTCTTGCTCTGTAGCCCAGGCTGGAGTGCAGTGGCATAATCTCAGCTCACTGCAAACTTGGCCTCCCAGGTTCAAGCAATTCTCCTGTCTCAGCCACCTGAATAGCTGGGACTACAGGTGCAAACCACACCCGGCTAATTTTTTTTGTATTTTTAGTAGAGATGGGGTTTCACCATATTGGTCAGGCTGGTCTCTAACATATTTTTAAAATACAAATTTCAATCTCTTTGGCTATGTATCCAGAAATATAATTGCTAGATCCTATGGTAATTCTATCTTTAGTTTTTTGAGGAATCTCCATGCTGATTTCAATAATGCCTGTATTAATTTACATTCCTGCCATTAGTATATAAGGATTCCCCACATCCTTGTCAGTACTTATTACCTTTTAGTTTATTGATAATAGTCATTCTAACAGGTATGAGGTGATATCTCTTTGTTTTGTTTTAATTTGCATTTCCCTGATGATTAGTGATGTAGACACTTTTTTATATATCTATTGGTCTTTTGAAAGATGTCCATTCAAGTCCGTTGCTCAGTTTTAAATGGCGTTATTTGTTTTCTTGCTAACAAATTTAAGTTGTTTGCATTTCTTACATATTTTGGATATTAGCCATGTATGGTTTGTAAATATTTTCTCCCAGTCCATGGGTTGTCTCTTCAATCTGTTATTTACTTTGTTGTAGAGAAGCTTTTGGTTTCAGGTAATCCCATTTGTCTACTTCTGCTTTGGTTTCCTGAGCTTTTGAGATCATCACCAAGAAAGTATTGCCAAGATTAATTTCAGGGACATTTTTCCCTATGCTTTCTTCTAGTAGTTTTACATTTTCAGGTCTCGCATTTAAATCTTTAAACCATTTTTAGTGGGCTTTTTACACATGGTGTGAGATAAGGGTTCAATTTCATTCTTCTGTATGTGGGTATTTGATTTCCCCTGCATCATTTATTAAAGAAACTGTCCTTTCCCCATAGTGTGTTTATTCTTGGCATCTTCGGCAAAAATCAATTAATCACAAATGCATGAGTTTATGTCTGGGCTCTCTATCACATTACATTGGTCCATGTGTCTGTTGTTATGCCAGTACCTTTCTGTTTTGAATACTATAACTTTGTAATATATCTTTAATCAGGTAGTGTGATGCCTCCAGCTCTGGTCTTTTTGCTCAAAAGTGCTTTAGCTACTTAAGATTTTTGTCATTCCATATGAATTTTTGAATTGCTTTTTCTATTTCTGTGAAACAAAAAGGTCATTAGAACTTTTATAGGAATTACATTGAATCTGTATACCACTTTCAGCAGCACAGACATTTTAATAATATTAATTCCTCCAATCCATGAACCATCAGGTTCTGGGCTTTTCTTTGCTAGGACACTTTTATCACTGATTCAACCCCCTTACTCATTAGTCTGTTCAGATTTTCTATTTTTTCATGATTCATTGTTGTTATGTTTCTGGAAATCTAACCATTTCTTCTAGGTCATCCTATTTGTTGGTGTAAAATTGTTCGTAGTATTCTTTTATGATCTTTTGTACTTGCGTAGTTTCAATTTTAATGTCTCCTCTTTCATTTCTTATTTTATTAGAGTCTTCTTTTTTTTCTTAGTTGGTCTGCTAAAGTTTTGTCAATTGTTTTTATCTTTTCAAAAACTGAACTGTTAGTTTTGCAAATGTGTTCTTTTGTTTTCTAATCTCTTACTTATTTCTGCTCTGATCTTTGTTATTTCCTTCCTTCTGCTAACTTTGGGATTAGTTTGCTCTTCTCTTTTTCTAGTTTCTTGAAATGTAACATTAGGTTGTTTGAGATCTTTCTTCTTTTTCAATATCGGCATTTATTACTATAAACTTTCCTCCTGCTAAGAACTTCTTTTGTTACATCCCATAAGTTGTGGTACGTTGCATTTTCATTTTCATCTGTCTTAAGATATTTTTTAACTTCCCTTTGATTTCTTCATTAACCCATTGTTTATTCAAGAGCATGTTGGTTAATTTCCACATTTGTAATATTTTCAAATTTTCCCCTATTATTTATTTCTATTCATTTCTACTTTCATAATTTTGTGGTCAGAAAAGATACTTGATATGATTTCAATCTTCTTAAAATTGTTGAGTCTTATTTTGTTACCTAATATTTGATCCTGGATAATGTCTCATTTGCACTTGAGAAGAATGAATATTCTGTTGCTGTTGGATGAAATGTTCTATAACGTCTTTAGGTCCATTTGGTCCAAAGTGTATGTCAAGTCTAGTGTTTCCCTATTGATTTCTGTCTAGATGAAAAAATTGTTCATCATTACTAATCATCAGAGAAATGCAAATCAAAACCACAATGAGATATCATCTAACACCAGTCAGAATGGCTGCTATTTAAAAGTCAAAAAACAACAGATATTGCGGAGGCTGCAGAGAAACGTGAACGCTTATACACTGTTGGTGAGAATGAACATTAGTTCAGCCACTGTGGAAAGCAGTTTGGAGATTTTCCAAAAGAACTAAAAACAGAGCTACCATTGGACCCAGCAATACCATTCCTGCGTATTTAGTCAAAGGAAAATATATCATTATACCAAAAGAACACACGCACTCATGTTCATGGCAGCACTATTCACAACAGCAGAGACATAGGCCTGCCCATCAGTGGTGGATTGGATAGAGACAATGTGGAGTTCCGGCAGAGACCCGGGTGGGACGCGCTGACCATGGGCCTGCGGAGGGGCTGGGGGTTCAGGACCTCCCGCAGCCTCTGCCCTGCAGGCTCCAGGTGCCCTCGCTGTGGCTCCCCTCGCGGGCCCAGGCCTGAAGAAGCCGCGAACCTCTCTTCCCTACCCCACCTCCGTGACTGATGGCAGCTCCTCTCTCAGCCCAGACCCCGCCGGCCTCCATGTCTCCCGGCCCAGCCCTGCGGGGCCTAAACTAAGCCCCTGCCGAGCTGCTAGGATGCAGCGCATTTGAGTGGCTGCGGGCGTGGGGGGCCGGGAAGCATGGCGACCGCCCCAACTCGCAGCGGAGGCCGTTAGGGTGTGGAGGGCGCGGGAAGGTGGGTCGCCTGCCACCGGGGCGCGGGCAGATCGGACCGCTCTGTCCCAGCTGGTCGAGACCGACCTAGTCCTGACGACAGGAACAACGGCATTAACAACGGCCGGAAGGTGAGCAGTGTCCCAGACAACGACGGATAGCGGCCACCTGGCCACTGGTCTTCCTTCTCTACCAGACCTGGATGTGGGAAGAGAGAAGTGGTGGAACAGGCCACATTTGGCGTATTGGAGATGCCCACTACCCTTTGGGAAGATTTAATTACCACCGTTTATAGAAGGCCCTGCGTGTGTAAAGTGAGAAAGCGGTTCTCAACTGCCCCCGCCCCAACTTTTAAATAGAAAACATTTGCCACATTTAGCCCTTCTAGATGGAAAGAGGTTGTGATGTATGATAAAGTTAGAAAATCACACATCTTATAAATTCTCATTTGTTCAAAAAGAAATGATAGAAAATAGATGTCTTCTGGAAATGGCTTTTCGCAATGGAATTGTTGGACCACTTCTGGAAGCCATACCAGGAACGACAGACACAACCACATTTGTTCAGTGGGTTAGAGGGCATGAAGAAGAAGACCTGAGAAGGAAAAGAAGAAGGTTCTGTGCCAGACTAGTCATATTCAGAAGACATTCTCATATTCTTTCCATTGTTTTGTGTGCGTTTTATTCCCTACTACTGTATAGATCATTGACAATGCTACACTTTTTTGAAATGTCTAGTGTTTCTAGATGTTCTGAGGTGCCTGATATATGTTTAAACTAGAAGTAGTAAAATAACACATCTTGTAAGTATCTTTTTGTTAAAATTCGAATGAAACATTGTTTTAGGGGGAAGGGCCAAACCACAAGTTGAGTAATATGCATTGTATTATGCGCCAGTTCAGGAGAGGAGGAGGAGGAGGCTGTGCAGAGAGCTCTGTGCCACCAGTGTGCTTACAGTGAGGCAAGATTAACCATTATATCTTATGTTTGTGCATTTTCTTTTACTTATCTATGTATAAAGTGTATATAGAGGAAAACAAGTCCTAATTTACATCTAGTCTTTCTAGATGTTATGGAGGTTGCCAGTGAATTACAAAAGTAGAGTTAGCAAACTAATATTTTTGTACATTTTGTTTTTAAATTCCTAGGGAAGATTGTCTTCTGAAAACTTGAGCATTCTTGCCCACTGGGTTGATGGAGATGGAAAGATTTTTAGGCCAGAATGTTCACATTTGGAAGACTCCTTCAAATTATAACTATTGTTACATGTATGCAGTTTATTCAAGGCTGCAGTGTACATAGTGGACAGATTAACTTCTTACCTGAAACCGCTAGTCTATTTAGATGTTTAGAAGGGCCTGATGTATGTTAAATGTAGAGGTAGCAAAATTTCACTTTGTAAATGTCTTTTTGCTGAAATTCATAGGAAATACTGTGTTTTGGAAATTGAATTATTAAGCCATCTTTGTGAGTGGTATAGTACTGTCTATACTTGCTCAGTAGTTTAGAGGAGCTGGGACGGATGAAACTGCAAAAGGTAACATGCTAGTGTGCTCATACTTGCACATTTTCAGGCACCATTTTTCTGTATGTTTTGTGCATTGTGTTTTGCTCTGTATATAGCGCATATAATGAACAAATGAGTCCTAATTTTGCAACATCTAGTCTCTAGATGTTAAAGAGGCTGGCAGTGTATGACAAAGTACTTAGTAAAATTAGCACTTTTTGTAAGCTTTGTGTTGAAATTCATAGGAAACCTTGTCTTCTGTAAATAACTTTTGGATCTAAATTTGTTCAACCATTTCTAAAGTATGACACATGCCTATACTTGTCTACTGAAATAAAGGCAGAGAGAAGAAAGGAAGGACTACTTCAAGGCCAAAATGGTCATGTTTAGAAGATACCTCAGATTATAACTGTTGTTATGTGTGTGCAATTTTATTTAACAGTGCCATGTACATGGTGGACAAGTTATATGAAATATTTAATCTTTCTAGATATTTGGAAGTGCTTGGTGTATTTAAAAATAGAAGTAGTAGAATAACACTTTCTGTAAATATCTTTTAAAAGTAATGAGAAATACTTTTTGGAACTGGCATTGTTGAACCACCTCTGTGAACAGCGTCCTCTCTGTACATGTTCATTGGGTTGAGGGAGATTGGAAGGAAGATATTGCAAAAAGTGTCTTGCTCTTGCGATAGTTTACTGAGAATGATGATTTCCAATTTCATCCAAGCCAAACACCGCATATTCTCACTCATAGGTGGGAACTGAACAACGAGATCACATGGACAC
This sequence comes from Homo sapiens, assembly GCF_000001405.40. Taxonomy (NCBI): domain Eukaryota; kingdom Metazoa; phylum Chordata; class Mammalia; order Primates; family Hominidae; genus Homo; species Homo sapiens. The sequence goes on along the minus strand of NT_167245.2, from coordinate 429,163 downwards.
AGGAAGGGGAATATCACACTCTGGGGACTGTTGTGGGGTGGGGGGAGGGGGGAGGGATAGCGTTGGGAGATATACCTAATGCTAGATGCGAGTTAGTGGGTGCAGCGCACCAGCGTGGCACATGTATACATATGTAACTAACCTGCACAATGTGCACATGTACCCTAAAACTTAAAGTATAATAATAAAAAATAAAAAATAAAAAGTGTTTTGCTAATGTTTACTAGAAAATTTCAGCTTAATCCATTACCTATATGTTACATGCATTGCATTTAACTTTGCTATACTGTATATATTGTGTGTATACTGGATGAAGTAGTCTTAATTTTATAATATCTAGTCTAGTCTCTAGATATTAAAGAGGTTGCCAATTTATAACAATTTATGAGAGTTAGTTTACTAACTCTATTTTTGTACACTTTGTTGAAATTCATAGAAAGGCTATCTTCTGAAAAGGACTTTTGGAAGTGAAATGATAACATCAGTTCTAAATGACACATATGCCTATATCCACTAGGTTGGTGGTAGAGAGGAGTTAGAAGGAATGAAAGATTTTAGACCAGAATGTTCCTATTTAGAAGACACTTTCAGATATAACCATTGTTACCTGTGTATATAGTGGACAAATTTAAGTCCTTATTTGAAACATCTAGTCTTTCTAGAAGTGCACAAAGTATGTTAAAAGTAGAGGGAGTAAATAACACTTTGTAGATATCCTTTTGATTCATATGAAATATTGTCTTTGGGAAATGGATCAAACCACTTATCTGAGCAGTACACATTACTATATGTGTGTTGGCTCAGGGAGGAAAGAGGAGCAGAAAGGGCAAAGGGTAATTGAAATACCAGTGTGTTTATGGTGAGGCACACTTTACCATTGTCCCTTATGTCTGCATTTTCTTTTACTGTGCTGTGTATATAGTGCATATAAGTGGACAAATTAGTCCTAATTTTCAACATCTAGTCTTTGTAGATATTAAGATGTTTCTAGTGTATGACAAAAGTAGAGTTAGTAAACTACTGTACTGAGTACACTTTTTGGTAAAATTCATAGGGAAGACTGTTCTTAAAAACACAAAAGGATGAAGCCGAAGACGGCCAAATAGGAGCAGTTCTGGTTTGCAGCTCCCAGCAAGACCAATCCAGATGGCAGGTGATTTCTGCATTTCCAACTGAGGTACCCCGTTCCTCTCATTAGGACTGGTTAGGCAGCAGGTCAAACCCATGGAGGGCAAGCAGAAGAAGGGTGGGGAGTTGCTTACCCAGGAAGTTCAAGAGGCCAGGGGACCTCTTTCCCCGAGCCAGGGGAGCCATGAGGGACAGTGCTGCCTAGCTTGTTACTACACTTTTTCCATGGTTTTTGCAATCTGTAGATCAGGAGATTCCCTTGTGTGCCTACACCACCAGGGCCTTAGGTTTCAAGCACAAAACTGGGTGGCCATTTGGGCAGACACAGAGCTAGATGAAGGAGTATTTTTCCTACCCTAGTGATGCCTGGAACCCCAGCGAGACAGAACCATTTACTCCCCTGGAAAGGAGGCTGAAGCCAGGGAGCCAAGTGGTCTCGCTCAGCAGGTCCCACTCCCACAGAACCTAGCAAGCTAAGAACCACTGGCTTGAAATTCTCACTGCCAGCACAGCAGTCTGAAGTCAACCTAGGACAATTGAGCTTCATGGGATGAGGGACGTCTGCCATTACTGAGGCTTTAGTAGGCCATTTTCCCTGACAGTTCCAAGGAGTCTCGGAGGTATGGACTGGCAAATTCATCACAGTGCAGCAAAGCAGCTGTGGCCAGACTGCTTCTCTAGATTCCCCCTCACTGGGCAGGGCATCTCTGAAAGAAAGGTAACAGCCCCAGTCAGAGGCTTACAGACAAAACCCCCATCTCCCTGGGACAGAGCACCTGGGGAAGAGGTGGCTGTGGGCACAGCACAAGCAGATTTAATCGTTCCTGCCTGCCTGCTCTGAAGACAGCAGCTGATCCTGACAAGAGGGATTCTCCCAGCACAGCACACCAGTTCTCTTAAGGGACACACTCCCTCCTCAAGTGGGTCCCTAACCCCCATGCCTCCTGACTGGGAGACAACTCCCAACAGGGCTTGACAGAACCTCACACAGGAGAGCTCCAGCTGTCATCAGGCCAGTGCCCTTCTGGGACGAAGCTTCCAGAGGAAGGAGCAGGAAGCAATCTTTGCTGTTCTACAGCCTCTGCTGGTGATACCCAGGCAAACAGGGTCTGGAGTACACTTCCAGCAAACTGCAGCAGACCCGCAGAAGAGGGGCCTGACTGTTATAAGGAAAACTAACAAACAGAAACAACGTCAACATCAACATAAAGGACCGTCACACAAAAACCCCATCCAAAGTCATCAGCCTCAAAGATCAAAGGTAGATAAATCCACAAAGATGAGGAAAAACTAGCATAAAAACGCTGAAAATTCCAAAAACCAGAATGCCTCTTCTACTCAAAATGATCTCAACTCCTCTCCAGCAAGGGCACAAAACTGGAGAAGGAGATTGATGAATGACAGAAGTAGGCTTCACAAGGTGTGTAATAACAAACTCCTGTGAGCTAAAGGAGCATGTTCTAACCCAATGCAAGGAAGCTAAGAACCTTGATAAAAGGTTACAGAAACTGCTAACTAGACTAGCCAGTTTAGAGGAGAACATAAATGACCTGAGGAGCTGAAAAACACAGCACGAGAACTTTGTAAGATATACACAAGGATCAATAGCCAAATCGATCAAGCAGAAGAACGGATATTAGAGACTGAAGACCAACTTACTGAAATAAGGTGTGAAGACAAGATTAGAGAAAAAAGAATGAAAAGGAACAAACAAAGCCTCCAGGAAATATGGGACTATGTGAAAAGACCAAACTTATGTTTGATTGGTTTACCTGAAAGTGACGAGAAGAATGGAACCAAGCTGGAAAACAGCTTCAGGATATTATCCAGGAGAACTTCCACAAGGTAGCAATACAGGCCAACATTCAAATTCAGGAAATACGAGAACACCACTAAGATACTGCTCGAGAAAAGCAACCCCAAGAAACGTAATTGTCAGATTCTCCAAGCTTGAAATGAAGGAAAAAAAGTTAAGGGCAGCCAGAGAGAAGGGTCAGGTTACCTATAAAGGGAAGCCCATCAGACTAACAGCATATCTCTCTGCAGAAACCCTACAAGCCAGAAGAGAGTGGGGGCCAATATTCAACATTCTTAAAGAAAAGAATTTTCAACCAAGAATTTCATCTCCAATGCGCCAAATGTGGCCTGTTGTTCCACCACTTCTCTCTTCCCACATACAGGTCTGGTAGAGAAGGAAGACCAGTGGCCAGGTGGCCGCTATCCGTCGTTGTCTGGGACACCGCTCACCTTCCGGCCGTTGTTAATGCCGTTGTTCCTGTCGTCAGGACTAGGTCGGTCTCGACCAGTTGGGACAGAGCGGTCCGATCTGCCCGCGCCCCAGTGGCAGGCGACCCACCTTCCCGCGCCCTCCACACCCTAACGGCCTCCGCTGCGAGTTGGGGCGGTCGCCATGCTTCCCGGCCCCCCACGCCCGCAGCCACTCAAATGCGCTGCATCCTAGCAGCTCGGCAGGGGCTTAGTTTAGGCCCCGCAGGGCTGGGCCGGGAGACATGGAGGCTGGCGGGGTCTGGGCTGAGAGAGGAGCTGCCATCTGTCACCGAGGTGGGGTAGGGAAGAGAGGTTCGCGGCTTCTTCAGGCCTGGGCCCGCGAGGGGAGCCACAGCGAGGGCACCTGGAGCCTGCAGGGCAGAGGCTGCGGGAGGTCCTGAACCCCCAGCCCCTCCGCAGGCCCATGGTCAGCGCGTCTCACCCGGGTCTCTGCCGGAACTCCACATTGTCTCTATCCAATCCACCACTGATGGGCACCTAGGTTGGTTCTATGTCTCTGCTATTGTGAATAGTGCTGCCATGAACATGAGTGCGTGTGTCCTTTTGGTATAATGATATATTTTCCTTTGACTAAATACGCGGTAATGGAATTGCTGGGTCCAATGGTAGCTCTGTTTTTAGTTCTTTTGGAAAATTCTCCAAACTGCTTTCCACAGTGGCTGAACTAATGTTCATTCTCACCAACAGTGTATAAGCGTTCGCGTTTCTCTGCAGCCTCCGCAATATCTGTTGTTTTTTGACTTTTAAATAGCAGCCATTCTGACTGGTGTGAGATGGAATCTCATTGTGGTTTTGATTTCCGTTTCTCTGATGATTAGTAATGATGAACAATTTTTTCCATATGTTTATTGGTCACCTTTATGTCTTCTTTTGAGAAGTGTCTGTTCATCCTTTGTCATTTGTTAATTTTTTAATGGGGTTATGTTTGTTGATTTAAGTTCCTTATAGATTCTGGATATTAGACCTTTGTTGTGTGCATAGTTTGTGAATCTTTTCTCACCTTCCGTAAGTTGTCTGTTTATTCTATTTATAGTTTCTTTTGCTGTGCGGAAGCTCCTTAGTTTAATTTGTATTTATGGATAGTAAAGATAACTAGCATTTGAGTTTGTATAAAGATAAGATGATAAGTATTGAGTTGAGGTGAAGCAACTAATGTCACAGAAGTTAGAAATATTTTGCCACATTGTAAGCTCTATTTGACTTTTGACTTTGTGTAGTAGATATAGATAGCATGAAAGCCTTAATTTTTCGCTTTTCTTGCTAGTAAGGTTATGTTTGCTTAGAGTGACCATTTAAAGTGTGTTTAACATAACATTACTGTTGAAAAACATTCCATTACATGTCCACAAGCAAATTAACTGCACATTTTAAATTGTATTTTACAATACAGTACAAATATTTTAGACCTCAATCTTATCTTCAATTCACTGGTATTTTAAGTTTTGCAATGAATATGAAGTTACTTTTTAGCTTACAGACTCCTTGTATTGTTATTTAAAATGCTTGTTACTATTGTAGGAAGGTTGAAGGCTTCATCTTTTTTTGAGTTAATATTTAAATTCTTATTACTTACTTTGATAGTCTCTAATTAAAAAAAGTAGTATGCAGGCAATTAAACAAATCAGTATATGCATTCAAGAATTTAAAACAATTTTACATTTTGTCATCATTGGGATTAAATTTTGGCCGGGTGTTCACTTTCAATATATATGTATGAACAATTTAATTATGAAGTGAAATAGTCTTAAGTCTGATATATGATGCACCCGCATATAAATTAAAATGGCACACACAAAGACACTTTACTATGGGAACTGTATTGGAAGATTTATGAAATTTTAGGTAAAATTGAACCTAAAATTTTGTTATTAGTGACTATAAGTAGCAATGCTTAATTTATTGTACTTGATGAATGAATGTATTTAGGTTAGCCATAGTTACTTTGGTTTAAATGTCGAAATCATGTCTTTATTTTAAAAATGTATTTGTAATTTGTACTATCAACGGGGGATATTATTGGACTGCAGAGGTTGTGGCAATGTGTGATTTGTGTTTCCTTATTTTATAGAATTATCTAATGTGATATACTAGTTTTTACAGGTAATATTTAGATATTTCTAATAATTGTATATTTGACAACCTACTAAAATGCTTTGCATTGGAAAGAAAATGAAAAACTATATGCAGACGTAGGCTGCCTGTAAGAGGTTCACTTTAACTTGAAGAACACACATTGATTGAAAAAATTATTTCATGCAAGTGGAAAGCAAAAGACAAGGGTAGCTGTACTTTTATGAGATGAACTTTAAGTCCAAAACTGTTAAAAGAGACAAAGAAGGTCATTATGTAATGATAAAAGGGTCAATTCATGAAAAGGACTTAACAATTGTAAATATATATGCACCTAATATAAGATCACCTATACATATAAAGAAAGCATTAGTAGACCTGAAAAGAGATAGACTGCAATACAATAATAGCAGAGGATTTCAATACTTTACTTTCAACAGTGGATATATCATCTAGACAAAAATCAATAAGGAAACACTGGACTTGACATACACTTTAGACCAAGTGGACCTAACAGACATATATAGAACATTCCATCCAACAGCAACAGAATATTCATTCTTCTCAAGTGCAAATGGGACATTATCCAAATAAGGTAACAAAATAAGACTCAACAGTTTTAAGAAGACTGAAATCATATCAAGTATCTTTTCTGACCACAAAAGTATGAAAGTAGAAATGAATAGAAATAAATAATACGATAAAATTTGAAAATATTACATACGTGGAAATTAACCAACACGCTCTTGAATAAACAAAGGGTTAATGAAGAAATCAAAAGGGAAATTAAAAAATATCTTAAGACAGATGAAAATGAAAATGCAACGTACCACAACTTATGGGATGTAACAAAAGAAGTTCTTAGCAGGAGGAAAGTTTATAGTAATAAATGCCGATATTAAAAAAGAAGAAAGATCCCAAACAAACAACCTAATGTTACATTTCAAGAAGCTAGAAAAAGAGAAGAGCAAACTAATCCCAAAGTTAGCAGAAGGAAGGAAATAACAAAGATCAGAGCAGAAATAAGTAAGAGACTAGAAAACAAAAGAACACATTTGCAAAACTAACAGTTCAGTTTTTGAAAAGATAAAAACAATTGACAAAACTTTAGCAGACCAACTAAGAAAAAAAAGAAGACTCTAACAAAATAAGAAATGAAAGAGGAGACATTAAAATTGAAACTACAGAAGTACAAAAGATCATAAAAGAATACTGCGAACAATTTTACACCAACAAATAGGATGACCTAGAAGAAATGGTTAGATTTCTAGAAACATAACAACAATGAATCATGAAAAAATAGAAAATCTGAATCAGTTAATCCAGGAGGTGGATTTTGAAAAGATCCACAAAATTGATGGACTGCTAGCAAGACTAATAATGAAGAAAAGAGAAAAATCAAATAGATCTATTAAAAAATAATAAAGGAGATATCACTACTGATCCCACAGAAATACAAATTCTCTTTTTTTTTGTTGTGTCTCTGACAGGCTTTGGTATCAGGATGATGCTGGCATCATAAAATGAGTTAGGGAGGATTCTCTCTTTTTCTATTGATTGGAATAGTTTCAGAAGGAATGGTACCAGCTCCTCCTTGTACCTCTGGTAGAATTCGGCTGTGAATCCATCTCGTTCTGGACTTTTTTTGGTTGGTAGGCTATTAATCATTGCCTCAATTTCATAACCTGTTAGTGGTCTATTCAGAGATTCAACTTCTCCCTGGTTTAGTTTTGGGAGGGTGTATGTGTCCAGGAATTTATCAATTTCTTCTAGATTTTCTAGTTTATTTCCATAGAGTTGTTTATAATATTTTCTGGGAAAACTGGCTAGCCACCATGTAGAAAGCTGCAACTGGATCCATTCCTTACACCCTATACAAAAATTAATTCAAGATGGATTAAAGACTTAAATGTTAGACCTAAAACCATAAAAACCCTAGAAGAAAACCTAGGCAATACCATTCAGGACACAGGCATGGGCAAAGACTTCGTGACTAAAACACCAAAAGCAATGGCAACAAAAGCCAAAATAGATGCATGGGATCTAATTAAACTAAAGAGCTTCTGCACAGCAAAAGAAACTACCATCAGAGTGAACAAGCAATGTACAGAATGGGACAAAATTTTTGCAATCTACCCAATTAACAAAGGGCTAATATCCAGAATCTACAAAGAACTTAAACAAATATACAAGAAAAAAATAAACAACCCTATCAAAATGTGGGCAAAGGATATGAACAAACACTTCTTGAAAGAAGACATTTATGCAGCCAACAGACACATAAAAAATGCTCATCATCACTGGTCATCAGAGAAATGCAAATCAAAACCACAATGAGATACCATCTCATACCAGTTAGAATGGCAATCATTGAAAAGTCAGGAAAGGACAGATGCTGGAGAGGATGTGAAGAAATAGGAACACTTTTACACTGTTGATGGGAACGTAAATTAGTTCAACCATTGTGGAAGACAGTGTGGTGATTCCTCAAAGATCTAGAACTAGAAATACCATTTGACCCAGTGATCCCATTACTGGGTATATACCCAAAGGATTATAAATCATGCTATTATAAAGACACATGGACACATATGTGTATTGTAGCACTATTCATGATAGAAAAGACTTGGAATGTCCATCAATGATAGGCTAGATTAAGAAAATGTGGCACATATACACCATGGAATACTATGCAGCCACAAAAAAGGGTGAGTTGATGTCCTTTGCAGGGACATGAATGAAGCTGGAAACCATCATTCCCAGCAAACTATCACGAGGATAGAAAACCAAAGACCACATGTTCTCACTCATAGGTGGGAATTGAACAATAAGAACACTTGGACACAGGATGGGGAACATCACACACTGGGGCCTGTTAGAGGGTGGGGAGCTGTGGGAGGGATAGCATTAGGAGAAATACCTAATGTAAATGACAGGTTGATGGGTGCAGCAAACCAACATGGCACATGTATACCTATGTAACAAACCTGCACATTGTGCACATGTACCTTAGAACTTAAAGTATAATAAAAATATTTTTAAAAAGATATTTGTTTTTTGCACCAGCTATACATCAGAACAGAATCTGGTGACTAAGAGGCTAAGAAACAGGGCTTATATGATTTTACATTTCTGGGGAGACAAATAATGGAAATTTTGGCCCATATAAATACCCAAGACTTTCAGCTAGAATGGGTGAATGGCTGCAACCTATGAATAACCATAGACTGAATATAGGCCAGCCCTAAAAATGACTGCAATCTAGAGTATATAATCACCTTTGCTGATGATAGCATATGCAAAATAAACTACATAATTTAAAGTATGCAAGTCAGTATTTTTATAGTTGTATATACCCATGATACCAATACCTCAATCAAGGTAGAGAACATTTCCATCACTCTCCAAAATCTATTTTGTCTTTTGATTTCAGACTTAGTCAACTACTACTCTAATTTATGCCCTCATAGATAAGTTTGCATGTTCTTGAATTCTTAGTGATAGATCTACATAGTGTGTATTATTTTGAGTCTTGCTTTCTGCATTCAGCAAAAATATTTTGAAATTCATCTAAAATGGTTGCAGGCCAGCACATTGTTTTGTTTTCATTACTAGTAATGTTCAATAATAAGGATATAGTATAATTTATTCATTACATCCGTTGACAGATACTTACAGTAATTCTAGGTTTTCGCCACAGTATTTTGAAAAAAGTGGCTATAAATATTCAGCACAGGTCTTCATTTGAGCAAATGTTTTTACTTCTCTTGAACAGATATTTAAGAGTTGAATGAATGGGCCATAAGGTATGTGTAACTTTTAAAGAAACCACAAAACAGTGTTCCAAAGTGTCTGTGTCATTTTACGCTCCTACCAGCAATGTATGTCCCAATTCTATCCACCCCATTCAAAATTAGGGATGTTTTCCTACTTTAATTACTTCCCAAAAGCAAAAATAAATTCTATCTAGAGGAGGATAACAACATTCCAAACTTTTAAAAAGTATATATTGTATAAATTGTATATATATAGAGTATAAATATGTATATATTGTATAAATAAATTGTGTAAAAAGTATGTATGTATATATTGTATAAATAAAAAGTACATATTGTATCAATTGTCATTTTGAAATAGATGCTGGAGAAATGGAGGAAAGAAGAGGTTATTAACTATTTCAATAATGCTCATTCTATCACTACCAAACCTGTCCTATGAGAACTGCTAAAGGAAGTTCACCAAACTGAAAGAATGTTAATGTGATTGTCATACTAAAAATGAAGTCATTATATTTAAACCACTTACCTATTTAGTAAGAAAACTAAAAACAATTTAAAATAATAACTACAACAATTTTTAAGAGATAGGCAATATAAAAAATGTAAATTGCAACATCAAAATTCAAAATATGGGTGAAGAATGGAGTTAATGTGTATAAGTTTTTAGTTGGAAGTTTGTTTTTATTTATGAGAGCAAAGTTAAGTTGCTATCAGTTTTATACTACATGTTATATTATAGGATACTTTTCGTAAGCCTCATGGACACCACAGTGCAAAAACTTATAATGGATACACTAACAATAAAAAGCAACAAATTAAAACATACTACCAGAGGAAAATAACAAGGAAAAAAGGAAAGAAGGAAGGAAGGAAGGAAGGGGAAGGGGAAGGGGAGGGAGAGGGGGAAAGAGAGAAAGAGAGGAAGGCAGGAAGGAAGGAAGGAAAGGAAGGAAGGAAGGAAGAGAGGAATTACGAAATTAGAAAACAAGTAACAAAATGGCAGTACTAAGGCATGAACTATCAAAAATAAAATTGAATGTAAACAGACTACATTCTATTTAAAAGACATACAATGGTTAAATGAATTAAAAACAAGACCAAATTATATGCTGCCTGCTGCCTGCCAGAAACTCTTCAATAAATAGTGCTGGCATAGCAGGCTAGCCATATGTAGAAGACTGGAATTGAACCTGTTCCTTTTACCATACACAAAAATAAACTCAAGATAGATTAAAGACTTAAATGTACAACCCAAATGTATAAAAACAATAGAAGAAATTCTAGGAAATACCATTCTGGACATCGACTTTCACGAAGACTTCAAGACGAGGACTCCAAAAGCAATCACAACAAAACCAAAAATTGACAAATAGAATATAATTAAACTAAAGAGCTTCTGCATAGCAAAAGAAACTATCAACGGAATACACACACAACTTACAGAATGGGAGAAAATATTTGCAAACTATGCATCTGGCAAAGGTCTAATATCCAGAATCTATAAGGAACTTAAACAAATAAAAAAGTGAAAAACAAACAACTCTATTTTTAAAACGAGCAAATGGCATGAACAGACACTTCTCAAAAGAAGATATACACATCTAACAAGTATATTAAAAAGTTCAATATCACTAATCACCAGAGAAATGCAAATCAAAACCACAATGAGATATTGTCCCACACCGGTCAAAATGGCTACTATTAAAAAGTTAGGAAATAACATTTGCTGGTGAGGTGGTGGAGAAAAGGGAACATTTATATACCACTGGTGGAAATGAAAACTAGTTCAGCCACTGTAGAAAGAAGTCTGGAGATTTCTCAAATAACTTAAAATAGAACTACCACTTGATCCAGCAATCCCATTACTAGGTGTATAACCAAAGTAATATAAATCATTCTGCCATAAAGCAATATGCATGCAGATTTTCAGTGCAGCACTATTTACAATATCAAAGTCACAGAATCAACCTAGTTGTCCATCAGTGGTGGACTGGATACAGAAAACATATATACCACAGAATACTATGCAGCTATAAAAAACGAGACTTTGGTCTTTGCAGTAATAGGGATGGAGCTGGAAGCTATCATCCTAAGCAAATTGGTGAAGGAATGGAAACCCCAGTATGGCATGTTCTCACTTATAATTGGGAGTTAAATATTGAGTACATAAGGACACAAAGAAAAGAACAATAGAAACTGGGGCCTATGATGGGGGAGGTGAGGATCAAAACCAACCCATTGGTTACCACACTTATTACATGGGTGACAAAATAATCTGTACACCAAACCCATGTGACACACAATTTACCTATATAACAAACCTGCACAGGTACCCTGAACCTAAAATTAAAGTTTAAAAAAAAAGAAAAGCTACTTAATGGGTATAATGCTAATTCCCTGGGTGACAAAATTATCTGTACACCAAACCCCCATAACAAAAAATTTACTGATGTAACAAACCTGCACATGTACCACTTGAACCTGAAATACGTTGTGCACATGTACCCTAAAACTTAAAGTATAATAAAAAAAATTAAAAATAAAAAAAAGCAAAAAAAAAAATTGGAAAGAAAAAAAAGAACCTCACTTCACCTATAGAAACACACAAAGAATGCAACACCAGTGTCTAGCAAGAGAAGGATGGATAAAGAAAATGTAATATATATACATGATGGAATATCATTCAACCATAAAAAATAATGAAATCCTTTCATTAGTAGCAACATGGATAAAATTGGAAGTCATTATGTTAAGTGAAATAAACCATGAACAGAAATACAAATATATCATGTTCTCACTGGTATGCAGGAGCTAAAAAAAGTGGATCTTATGAAGGTCAAGGGTAGAATGGTGCTTATCAGAGTCTGCAAATGGATGCAAGGAAAAACAGATGAAAAAGAGTTTGTTAGTGGGTACAAAAATAGAGTTAGATACAAGGAATAATTTTTAGTATTTGATAATACAGTAGAGAAAATACAACTAACATTTATTAATATTAGCATAACATATATTGTATATTTCAAAATAGCTAGAAAAAAATTGTAATTTTCACAACACAAAGTGTTTGTGGTGATAGATATTATAATCACTCTGATTTAATCATTACACATTGTATATGTGTAAGAAAACACATCTACCCCAAAATATGTACAACTATAATATATTGAAAAATTAAATAAATAAATAAATATAGTGCTCATTTTAGAAAACCAATCAATGATGCCTAAAAGAGGGACTAATGTGTAAATATAAGCATCAAAACAAAAAAAATCAAATCTCCTGAAATACCAAAATACCAAAAAAGAATGAAAAGTGAAATATTTTATATACCTTTTATAAAGATATATGTATAAACTTATAAAGATATGTCTTTAATTTACCTGGCTGGGGCTTTTTGGAAGACTTCATTCATGAGTCTGTCTGTATTTGACCATGACTCAGACCTCGACCAATGCAAAAAGCATTTTCTCAGCAGGTATTTGTTGAAAATAATTTCAAGTGACTGCTTTAACTTCACTTCTGACTAAAGCAATTGATAAAAGTTGGGGCAGACCATAAAGCAATAAAAGAGCTTAAAAAATGTAAGGAATGGGATGTCTATAGGGATTTTGAAAATCTTTGCCATATGCCAGGAATTTCATGTATATGCATATGGCTGTGTTCAGATTCAGGACTCTATAAATGCTCAAGCAAGAACTGAGAAGATTCTAAACTCTTGTCTCTGGCTGACCTTCAGTATTTCAGGAAGAAGTAAGTGGAGGCTAAGGTAGAGATGTGAACTGCCTGACTAGGTGTCAGAGTCATGCCTCAATATGAACATAGAGGTCTTTGACAGAAACTGGAAGATTTATTAGTCCCAGGCATTGAAAGAAATTTCTGTCCAATTATTTGCTGGCCACTAGACTACCTGAGTACAGATTTTAATGGCCCTACACCACAAAGAAGGCAGACTTTAGAGAATTATTTGGGAGTATTCACTAAACAAGCAAGCAACAACTACATTAATAAGCAGCAACAACTACATTAATAAGCAGCAACAACAAATTCTAGTGAGACAGGGAGAATCTGGTTTCCACAGTTGCCATTTCTAGTATTTAAAATATTTAGTTTTCCAAATTTATAAGAAAGAAAAACAACCCCATTAAAAAGTGAGCAAAGAACATGAGCCGACAGTTTTCAAAAGAAGACATACATGCAGCCAACAATCATATGAAAAAAGCTCAACATCACTGATCATTAGAGAAATGCAAATCAAAACCACAAGGAGATACCTTATCACACCAGTCAGAATGGCTATTATTAAAAAGTCAGAGAAGAACAGATGCTGGGAAGGTTATGGAGAAAAACAAACATGTATACACTGTTGGTGGGAGTGTAAATTAGTTCAACCATTGTGGAAGGCATTGTGGCAATTCCTCAAAGTTCTAAAGACAGTAATACCATTTGACCCACCAATCTCATTACTGGGTAAGCACCCAAAGGAATATAAGTTGTTCAATTGTGAAAACACATGCATACATATGTTTATTGGAGCACTACTCACAATAGCAAAGACATGGAATCAACCTAAATGCCCATCAATGATAGACTCGATAAAGAAAATGTGGTACATACACACCGTGGAATACTATGCAGCCATAAAAAAGAATGAGATCATGTCCCTTTCAGGAACATAGATGGAGTTGGAGGCCATTATCCTTAGCAAACTAACACAGTAACAGAAAATTGAATACCACATGTTCTCACTTGTAACTGGGAGCTAAATGATGAAAACATATGGACACATAGAGGGAAACAATACATACTGTGGCCTGGTGGAGGGTGGAGGATGGGAGGACAGAGAGGATCAGGAAAAATAACTAATGGATGCTATGCTTAATACCTGGGTGATGAAATAATCTCTACAACAAACCCCCATGACCTGCGTATGTACCTTTGAACTTAAGATAAAAGTTTTAAAAATAAAAATAAATGAAATGAAGTATCTAGTTTTCAACATAAAATTATAATACAAGTGAAGAAAGACACAGGAAGTATGGGTCATAAAAGGAGGGGGAAATGCAATCAATAGCAGCAAATCTAGGTGTTGAACTTGTTGGACAAAGGCTTACATCAGCTACTTTAAAAATAGGGTCAAAGAGCTGAAATAAACCATGTTTAAAGAACTAAAGGAAGATATGACAACTATTTCTCACTAAATAGAGAAAATTATTAAAGAGATAGACATTATTTGTTGTTAAAGAACCAAGTCAAATTCTAGAGATGAAAAAGTACAGTGATGGAAATAAAAAATGCAGCAGAAGACCTGAACACCAGATTTTAACAAGCAGAAGGAAGAATCAACAAACTACAAGATAGGTCAATTGAGATTATCTAGTCAGAGTAATAAAAAGAAAAAAGAATGAAGAAAAATAAAACAGCCTAAAGAAATCTGAGACATTATCAACCATAGCAAACCACTGAAAACATCAGATGTTGACAAAGAGATAAATAACAGGAACTCTCATTCACTGATTACAGAAATCCAAAAGTGTACAACCACTCTAGAGGACAACTGGACAGTTTCATACAACACTAAACATCTTAACCATAGAATCCAGCACTCACGTGTCCTGGTATTAACCCAAATAATCTGAAACGTTATGTCCACACAGAACCTGTACACAAATGTTTGCAGTAGCTTTATTCCTAATTTCCAAAGCTTGGAAGCAAAAAAAAAAAAAAGTCCTTTAATAAATGAATGAATAAGCAGACTGTGGTACATTCATAGAATGGAATATTATTCAATTATAAAAAATGAGTTGTAAAGCCCAGACCTGGAAGAAATTTAAATGCATATTACTAAGTCAAAGAAGCCAGTCAGAAAAGTCTATATTATATATGATTTCAATTGTATGATATTCTGGAAAAAGCACAGTTATGGAAACAATAAAAAATCAGTGGTTGTCAGGGGCTCCCGGGGAGGAGGGGAGGAAATGATGAATGGAAGGAGAACAGGGAATTTTTAAGGCAGTGAAACCATTCTTTATGATACTGAATGGGGGAATACATGTTATTAAACATTTGTCAAAACCCATAGAATGTAAAACACACACCATCAACCCTAATGTAAACTATGGAATTTGGTTACTAATAACGTATTAATATTGGCTTATCAATTATAACAAATGTACCACATGAATGCAAGTTGTTAATAATAAAAGAAACTCTGGGGGAGGGAGTAAAAGGGGTTACATGTGAGTTCTCTACACCTTCCATTCAATTTTTTGTAAACCTAAAGCTTCTGAAAAATAGTCTATTCATTTAAAAAATGGAAGAGATTCACAAGGTTTATTTAAAAAGACAATCCAATGATATACTGTCAACAATATATTCACTTTAGATTCAAAAATGCAAATAGGTTGAAACTGAAAAGATGAAAAAAGTATTCCATTCAAAGAGTAAGCAAGATAGAGTGCTAATGGATGGCTATACTGATATTACACAATATCAACAAAAAGACAAGAATTATTACTGGAAACAAAGAAGGACAATTTATGATGATAAAATCGCTGGTCCATCAAGAAGATACATCAATTATAAGTACATATGCACCTTGCAGCAGATCTCCAAACTACATAAAACAAAGACTAACAGAACTGTTTGGAGCAATAGATAATTCCATAATTATAGTTCAATGTCAGCATCCCACTTTCAATAACAATAGAACAATTAGATAAAGGTCCACAAGGAAATAGAAGATGTGAACAGCATTATAAACTAACTACAGCTAATTGACCTCTACAGAAAACTCCACCCAATAGTAGTAGAATACATATATTACTCAGGGCACATGAAACATTCTACAGATTAGTCTATAAGGTCATAAAGCAAATCACAATACATTTAAAAGATTAAAATAATGTAAAGGATGTCCTCTAACCACAATGGAATAAAATTAGAAATCAATATCAGGCAAAATATTGTGAAATACACAAGTAAGTGGCGATGAAACAACACATTCCTAAATAATGAATGGCTCAGAGGAAATCACAAGGGAAAATAGCAAATAATTTGCAAAGAATGAAAATAGAAACACAACATACCAAAGTTTATGGAATTCAGCAAAAGTAGATAAGCTAGAGATGTGTTTAAAAGAAAAAAATTCCTTTATCAGTCATTGTCTCTGAAATGACAAAAAGTGTGTGTGCGTGTGTGTGCGTGTACATATGTATGTAAAAATCAAGTAACAATATGTTCAAGATGATTTAATTGTATTATTTAAGTTGCTATTGTCAAAAACTATGCATACTAGAGGGGGAGACTTCAAAAGCAAAATAACTAAGAAAGCTTTCATTCTTTTGCAGAAAATTAAAAGAGAATATGATATAGAGATACTGTGTAGTATATTCATATTAGATATTCCTTCTTAGGTGACATTTGAGATCAACCTGAAACACAGAAAGGAGCTAGTCATGATAAAATCAAAGAAAGAGCATTTTAGACCTAAAAACATCTAATTCAAAAGTCCTAAAGCAGGAAATGACCTTTGTTTGTAATGGAAAGTTACAGTCACCTATGGTCCCAGCAGAAAATAGATGGCATGCTCCTATGGGAACTGAAAGAGGTTTAACAAAAGAAGTAAATACAAAGTTGTGAGAAGGATTTAGGAACATCAACAAGGGATTTCTGTATATGTATTATATATGGACTACTCTGAATCTAGCAACAGTTGGGAGGCTTAGCAACCAACACAAGGCCTGAAGTAGCAAAGGGAGAAAGTACTATTACAAAGCAGAAAGAGAGAGAACCTGTACGTGGCTACATCCATGACCTGTGATCTTTGGTTGAGCAATACAAGTAGCCTCATTTGTCCCATCTGAAGGAGAGGGTAGGGGAAAATACTTCAAACTAGCTGCTGCCTCACTCTAATCCTCAGCTGGTGACTCATTGGCTGAACACAACCAGAAGTCAAATATCATGGAATTCTCTTGATTTCGCCTCTAGAGGCACAACACAGGGTAGAAACAAACATGGTTGGATAGAGAGTGAATCTGGGGCAGGGGAAGGAAGGGGGAGTGGAAAATATCCAGCACATATGTAATGTGGAAAGATGCACACCCTTATGACACTAACGGTTACCTTTAAAGAAAGGAGAGGGACAACAGACCATGACAGTAGGTCATCAAAGGGAATGCCTGTAATCCCAGCCACTTGGGAGGCTGCGGCAGGAGAATCGCTTGAACTGTACAGCAGAGGTTGCAGTGAGCTGAGATCATACCACTGCACTCCAGACTGGGCAACACAGCAAGACTCCATCTTAAAAAAAAAACCCTTTAAATTTGTATTTGCTATCCCATGCACTTGAATTTGTTTTTCAACATAATGTATTTATGCATTTTGTATGTAATTTTTAAAATCTCAAAGTTATCTGTGTATCTGCCTAATGTTATGTGGTATGTGCTTGGTGAGAGTGAAGAAATTATCATTTCATCATTTTAATATGAAAGCATTAAATATTATGAAATGTTTTAAACTATCACTTGATTCCTTCTCATTGGAAATATCTTTTTATTATCTTTCTTCCTTTTCAACTCATTTTTGTGCCCCTTTATTCTTACAACTAGAAATGATTAAATTTTATGTGAGGTAGTCTAGAAGTTAATGAGGTAAGGTATTCAGGGAATTCTCATTTAAGTTCCCCAGAATCATTTATTCAAACTAGCTCATCTCTAATTGCATCTCATTTAAAATTAGTGTCTACTGTTTTGGGAAATTGAGTAAATGTATTTTAAAACACATCTGACAACAGAAGAGACTTCCTACCAACCTCAGTTCAGTAGGAAACTAATTGTACATAAGTAGCATTTCCATAGAGATCTCTGTCCCAAGGAATTTTCTCTGCTAACTCCTCATCTGGGATAAGGATTAATGGCCTGTTGGAAAACAATGCCCAAGAGGTCTCAGGAAGAGCTTACAAATAACACATCCACAAAGCATTCTGATATTTTCTACTATTGTCTTCCTAACCCATGTTTTCTTCTCTTTGGAACCCTGTAACAATTGAAAACCTAAGTTGTGAAGCTAATTCTTAAATACTCATGTATACTACAGTTTATCCATCCTCTGAACGTTTGAAAAATTCAAGTGTATTCCTTCATAATTCCTTTTTATTGAAAGATATTTATCAAAAGGTGAGTAAAAAGGCACGTTTTCAAGTCCATGCATTCTTAGGGAAATTGAAATATGTGTAGATCATACTGCCACTGCCTAATATACATCTGAAAGGCAGAGAGCATTTCATTTCAGGGAGCCTTTTCTAACCTTTGGAAACAGCTGCTCAGTGGTTCTAAGAAGCAACTAGATTTCTCTTTGTAATTAATCTATCTCTCAATCTCTCACTGAAACCAAATTTAAAAACATTAAACCCATTTAAAATCATTATGATTTTAAATTTGGTTTCAGTGAGAGACTGAGAGGGAGATTTATACACTATATCTGAGAAATATTAAATGCCCAAAACAAATATGAAGCCTTCTTTCAATCAGGTGGATTTTTAGAATATATGTTCAAAATTGGATGGATTGATTTGTCTGTGTGTTTCATGCAGATTCCTAATGTCAGATAAAAATAACTTTTATTTCTTCTTATGATCTTTTACTATATAGAAAGTCTACAAGTGCAGTACATATAAAGAAAATATTGTGTATGGTAAAAATGAAGTATAAGCTACACTAGAATGAAGATGGAAGTGGAGATAAAACAGGAGACATCAACAGGAATAGGGTCTGGTACTTTATTTATCTTTTTTAAGTGAAAGCAAGTTTATTCAGAAAGTAAAGGAGTAAAAGAATGGCTGGCTACTCCATAGACAGAGCAGCCCCAAGGGCTGCTGGTTGCCCATTTTTATGGTTATTTCTTGATGATATGTTAAACAAGGGGTGGATTATTCATGCCTCCCCTTTCTAGAACATACAGGGTAGCTTCCTGATGTTACCATGGCATTTGTAAACAAATGTACTCTACCATATAGGGCAACTTCCTGACGTTGTCATGGCACTGATGGGAGTGTAGCAGCGAGGATGACCAGTGGTTACTCTCATCGCCATCTTGTTTTTGGTGGGTTTTGGCCATCTTCTTTAGAGTAATCTGTTTTATCAGCAAGGTCTTTATGACCTGTATCTTGTACTGACTTTCTGTCTCATCCTGTGACTTAGAATGCCTTAACCATCTGGGAATGCAGCCCAGTAGGTTTCAACCTCATTTTACCCAGCTGCTATTCAAGATGGAGCTGCTCTGGCTCACATGCCTCTGACATTTCCTCCCTCCCCTTTACAAGAGAACCCTTAATCCTAAGGGTTGGAGAGGGACAAAGATCCATCTCCTTCTGTAGCTTCTTCAGGCTTAAGAGGAGCAATGATATTCCTGCCTAACAATTAGAGTCTCTCGTATTTGGGGTAGAGAGGAGCTCGTCAAAAAGCATTGGTATGATGAGAGCCATTCATAACTCTGAGTTTCAACAAGAGGTGCTATCTGAAAGATTGATAAGTGTTCCATTTAAGAAAACATTCACTAAGCATATTCTGCATCCGTATGCAAAGAGTACAAATGCAATGTATTCCACAGCAGCAAAGCAAAATAAGTAAAATTATTCCAGGTAAACTAAATTTAAAGGCTTCCCATGAACTGAGCAACTGTTAAAACCAAGCTGATACAGGGTTGCCAGATGATTCCAATATGTGCCCATGATTAGAATATTGGTCCAGATTTTTACATTACCCAAACCTCTTGTATCTTCTGAGTAACAGTCTAAGATCACTGGTTGGTTCACAGGAATAAGCAGGTTTAGCCTAAATTGTAGAAACAAACTTAAAAACAACTCATGAGACTAGAATTTAATAACAAGTGTACCATACTTCTTGAAACATAATTTTTCTCACTTCAGTTTCTCATTTTTACTGAAGACAAATTATGATAAGACTGATTTACTTTATTGCACTTGGCCTGATTATTTGTATAAAGTGGAACAAGAATAATTATTTTATACATTACCAAAATTTCTTTGTCAATCACGTTTTTGCCAGTGGCTGTGGTAACGAGTTTTGTCATACACAGACAATTGTCTTGTTTTAATCCTCTTCAAAAGGTGGTTTATAGTCAGCTATACAACTCTAACGGATGTTCTTAAATGCAGGTTTCTGATAACTTTGGAAATTGTGACATTAGAATAGAGGAAACAACTTTTGCAACTCTCGTGAAGAACAGGAATGTTCATGAATATCAAACAGAACAGGAGTTAACTGCATAAACTAAACTAAAAGAATAAACTAATCTTTTTGACTTTGCTTAAAACGTTGCTAACCCTTTGTTTTGTTTTCCAGAGTTAAGAAAACTTTTACTTTGAGCTATTTACAGCCTTTAGCAATTGAGTAAAGTATACTTCTGTGGAAAAAAAAAAATGGACCATATTTGTTTCTCTCTACCTGATTTCTCCAGAATTTGGAGACTATTTGTGAGTATTCTTAACTGATGGCAATATATTTATTTGCATAAGTGCAATAAGAATCTGTTTTTTTTTTTTTGTAGCCGGACACAGTTGGAGAAATTGGTTATTTTACCAAGGCTTTGACTGGAATGGTGTGTTTTCCTTTAAGGAATGAAACTTGACTTATAGAGCCAATAAAAACCCCTTGGGGAACTGACCTTCTACCTTGCCTACACAGTCCCTATACAGGGTTTCTGGCCTGTGGTAAGTAAAGAATGTCATTTTCTAACATTCCAAGGATTCCTGCTTTATCTTGGGACCCCATGAGGAGAGGAATTTACTCAACTCATGGGTCTGGCACTTTAATAAAGTGGCTTTAAACATTTGTGATTAAGTAAATCCCCATGTAGTAAAATAGTGATGAAACATTTCTTGAAGTATAAGATCCAAAAGACAGATAAAATCCCAAAGCTAAAAGAAATAAAATACAAGAATGACATGAGAAAAAAATATGAGATCTAAGAATAGAATTACAGAGCTTAAATATACTTCAAAATTAAATCACATTGATTAGTCATTCCTAGTCTGATGTCTTCAGGGAAATGTCCAGAGAAATGGAGGAGCTCTGGGTGACCACCACTCACAGACAAAATATACTTAATAAAGTTAATAACAAAATCCCAAATAATATAAATTTAATAAAATTGCGGAAGACATACTGGAGTGAATATTGTCATTAAAGGTAGTTATAATTAGTTATAATTATGGAAGAATTCATGGAGGATCAAATCTAAAATTGCTTTTTAAAAAATTCAAGGATGGTCCCTGGTAGAAAAAATATAAAAGGTGAACATAACAATGTTAAATAAAGATAGCAGGTATCTAATAGTGAAATTATTTAATAATGTAATTTGCAATTCTCAGAATACAGGCATGCACCACATAATGACATTTTCATCAATGACTGACCATGCATGTGTTCAACAGTGGTCCCATAAGATTACAATGGAGCTAAAAAATTCCTGTTGCCTAGTGACACTGTATCCATGATAATGTTATAATGTAACACATTACTCAAGTGTTTGCAGTGATGACGGTATAATCAAACCTGCACTGCCAGTCATATAAAAGAATAACACATAAAATTGTGTGCAGTACATAATACTTGATGATGATAAATAAATATGTTACTGGTTTATATTTTTGCTATACTATACTTTTTATGATTTTTTATACTCCTACTTATTTTTAAAAAGTTAACTGTAAAACAGCCTCACACAAGTCTTTCAGCAAGTATACCAGAAGAAGATATTGTTATTATAATCATAGGAGATGACAGCTCCATGCATGTTATTGCCCCTGAAAACCTTCCAGTGGGACAAGGAGCTGGAAGACAATGATATTGATGATCCTGACCCTGTGTAGGCCTGGGCTAATGTGTGTGTTTGTGTCTTCATTTTTAACAAAAAAGTTAAAAAACTTAAAAAAATAGAAATAATTTATAGAATAAGGATATAAACAAAGAACATACTTTTGTACAGCTGTATGATGGGTTTAAGTGTTATTCAATAATCAAAAAGTTAAAGAAATTAAGAAGTTTATGAAGTAAAAATGTTACAGTTAGCTAAAATGAATTTATTATTAAACAGAGAAAAGTGTTTTTTAGTAAATTTAGTGTAGGCTATAGACAGTGTTTACAAAGTCTATAGTAGTGTACAGTAGTGGTCTAGGCCTTCACATTCCCTCACCATTCACTCACTGACTCACCCAGAGCAACTTCAAGTCCTGCAAGATCCATTTATGGTAAGTGCCCAATATAGGTATACCATTTTTTATCTTTTATACCATATTTTATTGTACCTTTTCTATTTTTATATACGCTTAATACATAAATACTTACCATTGAATTATGATTGTCCACAGTATTCAGTAAGGTAACATGCTGCACAAGTTTGTAGCCTAGGAGCAATAGGCTATATCACATAGCATAAGTGTGTACTAGGCCATACCATCTAAGTTTGTGTAAGTGCACTCTATTATATTCACACAATGACAAAATCACTTAACAATACATTTCTCAGACTATATTCCTCTTGTTAAGCTATGTATGACTGTATTTATTTTGACATCAAATTAGTTTATATCATGCCTTTATTTCATCTTTCATTTCCAATACGGATTTTCATCTGAAAAAGCACTCAGGCCAAGACATATTTCTAAATTTGATGCACTCATATAACATCTTGATTAAATCAAGGTCAAATAATGTGAAGGGGGTCACACTCATTCAGGAACAACCCTCGAGTACAGATGCTTTCTGGGGCTCTTGAAACTCTGAGTTTATAGTCTCAATATTTTATTACCTCATTTAAAGCAGCAATTACTTTTCAATCTTTAGGATGTTCTTAGTCATTAGCAGAGTATGGAAACAAATGATTAACAATATCTTAAAATATGGATAGTAAAATTTTCTTTGTCATAGCGTTTGGGGATGGATACTAAATGATTTAATGGTGTAGAAAGCATATGGGGGTGTTTGACACAGAGGGTTCACTAAGGACTAGTTGGAAAGAGTGTTATTATTGTTTTGCACACTTCCGGCGTGAGATAGCATATAATCAAAGGGCAACATTCACATGTTAGCCCTGAGGAGCTTTGTATGACACCTCACAGGATGACTTTGAAGATGTAATGAAACAGAGAATGTGGAAGCTGTGCTTTATAAACTTATAAATGTAATCTGTTACCATTAAACAACTAATTGACTGGCAGAGTTACTCAGAATGTTGTCACTGAGATGCTATCTTAACTTTTCAACCGAATATTTCTCATCCTGCAGAAAATTGTGATATTCATAAAACACATGTCACCACTAAAAGAAAAGCATATGAGCAAAAAATTAATCTTTCTCAAAATACTGCTTCACTAAACTAGTTGAGGTTGGTATATCAATGTACTTTCTAGCTGAAAAAAAAGGAAAGGTCTTGAAAATGTAAAATAATTTCAGATTTGACTGTCTCTAAGCCTAAATTGGGACATCAACTTTTGTCCTGACTGCAGTCACTCAGAACTAAAAGACATATTTGTAGTTATGTGCAATCAGTGGGTCATGACAACTATCCAAACTCTTATATTAAAGCAAGATGATAATCTCATTGAATAAAAAAATTTTTTTCAAAATGGATGTTAGCTAAAATTTAACATAAAATATCAAATGCCCAAAGGTTGAACTAAATCGTAATGAATAAAAGCCCAAGAATGCAAAATCGAATTCCTGAGCATAGGGAAACTTTGTCATTGTAGGTTAACTCTCTCAATTTATACTTGAGAAAACAGACAATAAAAGTATTTAATTTTCTTGTTCAATTTCAAATCGCTGAGATAGATTTAAATCCAAAAGTCTTCTTGCCTCCCTTGGAGATGATATGATTATTTAACTAACTAGTTGGAGCTGGACAATGCTATCTTGATGATTCTTATGACTCCAGGTTTTCTCCTCCTTTTTCTCCTACCATTGCTACCTCAATATGTTTATTCTTCTTAGCATTTCAGTAATGCCTTGCAGCACTGTTTCTGAAAATGAACCATCCTGTTCCTCAGCCCCAGGCCACATTTACTCTATCAGACACCTAAAGATAGGAAACAATAAATTTCATTCTAGCAACCTTCTCAGCTGATTTTTATGCAACTCAAAGTTTGAAAACTATACGGTCACTTTTACTTTGTATTTAATCCTCACCTCACTCAAGAATGGTAGTTATTGTCAACCTTCTTACACAGAAGAAGAAATTCCATTTCAGAATGGTTGGGTTACTGGATTAAGATATCTGCCTTTAATTTGTAGTGTCCCATAGGAAAATAAGATCACCTGATACCAGATGTTTTATGTTATTCTGACCCCAGGTTACTGCACCCTGTCATCTATAAGTAGACAATCAATGCATCACCATGTTTTGTCGATACCCATAGCTCTACCTTCTTTGGCATATCCCTACTACAGGTGAAACAAATTGAAGATAATGCCACTAACTAATGAAAGCCACCCTGAAGAATTTATTCTGCTAGGCTTTGCAGACCGCCCTTGGCTAGAGCTTCCTCTGTTCACTAGTCTTCTTATAATGTACCCTATAGCCGTGATGGGAAACATCACAATCATTCTCATGTCCAGGTTAGACTCTCGTCTTCATAGCCCCATGTATTTCTTCCTCACCAACCTCTCCTTTTTGGACATGTGTTATACCACAAGCATTGTCCCTCAGATGCTGTTTAACCTGGGAAGCTCTAAGAAGACCATCAGCTATATGGGGTGTGCGGTTCAGCTTTATTTCTTTCACATAATGGGGGGAACAGAATGTTTGCTTTTGGCTATTATGTCCTTTGATCGCTATGTGGCCATCTGCAGACCTCTTCACTACACCCTCATCATGAATCAGCGCGTCTGTATCCTTAGTTTCCACCGTGTGGCTAATTGGAATAATCTATGCTGTCTCAGAGGCCACTGCCACATTACAATTGCCACTGTGTGGTCTCAATAAACTGGACCACTTGGTGTGTGAGATTCCTGTTCTGATAAAGATTGCCTGTGGTGAAAAGGGTTCTAACGAGCTCACACTCTCTGTGGTATGCATTTTTATGTTAGCTGTCCCACTATGCTTAATTCTTGCTTCCTATGCTAGTATTGGAAGTGCTGTAT
Source organism: Homo sapiens (assembly GCF_000001405.40). Lineage (NCBI taxonomy): Eukaryota > Metazoa > Chordata > Mammalia > Primates > Hominidae > Homo > Homo sapiens. The sequence continues at coordinate 403,740 of NT_167245.2, read as the reverse complement.
TTAAGATCAAATCTTCCAAGGGAAGGAAAAAGGCCTTTGGGACATGCTCCTCCCATCTTATTGTAGTTTTCTTATTTTATGGCCCAGCCATCAGCATGTACCTTCAGCCCCCCTCCTCCATCTCAAGGGATCAACCCAAGTTCATGGCCCTCTTCTATGGAGTGGTGACTCCCTCACTCAACCCTTTTATCTACACCCTGCGGAATAAGAATGTAAAGGGGGCATTACGCAACTTGGTGAGGAGCATTTTCAGCTTTAAGTGATAGTGGGTAGACATAAAATGAAGTTATTGAACAGTTAGAGTAGGTTGCTATGGTTTTATCTAACAAATTCTTGTCTCATAATCAAATATCGCTTTACATGTTCTTGCAAAATATGTTATGTCTCCGAGACTCTTTGTAAACATGTTCAGCAAGGATTATACTTGGCTAGTAGGCACATTATATTATGGAAATATATTAAAATAGTTCTATACTGGTTGGTACATACAGAGATAGTAACTGTGTTAAGTAGTAAAAAAATTAGTAAAATGAATTTATTAGTTCAAGCTAATTGTAAAAATAGTATAGCAACCACTCATCAATGAGCCTCCTGTCAGAGTCACCTGAGAAACATTCCATCACTCTCTGCATGTTGTCCCAAGTCTAAATGGGCAGTGTGGCTACACTGGGCATTCAATGTGAAGCACATTATACTTTGGAATAATCATGAGTCTCATAAGCTTATCAACCCCAATTTATGTAGATACTATTGCTTCTTAAAAATTCAGTGTAATTCTTTTTTAACAAATAAGTATGCAGTGATTTTGTATTTTTAATTAAATAATTTATTATTAAATTTTGAAATGAGTGGAATAGTGGGACAAAAAGTATGAAAAAGTTTCTGATACTTTCCTTTTACATACTATAATAATGAGTCTTCGAATCAGTGAGATAACAAGGAAGTGATATTAATAATGAAACACAACCTGGAAGCATTTCCGTGCACAATTTGGAACAGCCAGGAATGCCTTTTGGAACTAACTGTGTTAGAATCAGAATCAGTATGAGAAAAAAATAATTTGCATTTCTGGAACAAAAAGCAACTTGATTACCTCAACAAACAATATGTCTTTTTACTGATGTAAATGTTAAATGCAAATGATGTACAAAACCTGTATCATTAAAAGTTGGAAGTGCTAAAACTTAGTTCTAGGACTCACACCCCAAAACTTAAAACTTTGTCACGAAATTAGTTACAATTTATGAGAGCAAATGAATAGATTTTATATTTACTTGGTGTTGAATTAATATGTTGAGAGTTCAACACGGTGTTGTGTAGTGAAGAAGTAAATACTTGTAAGAAAAACAAAAGGTCATTTGGACTTTTCTGGCATAACTTCTGGTATGATCAAGATCTAAGCCAATAATTGGAAGGAAAACCTCATGTTAGTTCAAACAAGAATCAACTGCAAACCAGATACACTTGCTGAAAAATAACAGATCATCTGGTGCTGATACAGATCCTCAAATCATTGAACTTTTATATATCTAGTTTGGAAAAAAATTTAAGTAACTTTAAAAATTGGCATATTTCTGGTTGATTGCCAGAAAAATGTTTTCAAATTTTATACACATGCACACACAAACACATGACCTAATTCTGTGGTGTTAGACAATAGCTTTGATCATTTTTATTAGTTAAGGTATAGTTTGTCTAACTTAGTCTTATATACAGAAGTATATAGTAATTTCTAGTTTTGAAGGCAAAACACAGAACGATTTTTGTCAAAAGCTTTGCTATAAAAACCCATTACAGTTCATCTGACTCTCTCAAATTATCCTCCGTCCTTGGCTAATGTATATACTACCTTCAAGTCCTGTAAAAAACATTCATTTCAGAGGCATGAGTGAAATCTAGACACAGTGAAAAATCAGGATTTCCTAAGAATTATATGCAAAAATCTCAGAATAAAGAATACTCAGAACAGTGGACTGGAAAACCCACAGAAAGGTTTTATTTGGACTTTGCATTTCCAGGGAATATATACTGCTCAGTATGCTACAGCATGAAGGATACTTCAGTCAACTTTTGAAAAATTCTGTAGAAGAGAAGGGACGCATTATACTTGAAAGAGAAAGCGTGCTCTACCTTTTGTGTAAAGCATGAGCAATTCTGAGATTGCCTTTCAAGGAAAGTGATCTAAAGTTCTTATTTCCCCAAGCAAGTAGGCCTTTCCTAAATAACAAATGGAAGAAAACAAAGCATTTTAACCCTAGATTTAAAGTCACTAAAAATGTATTTGGAAAAATATTTAAGGTAGAACTCAAGAAGGTTTAACAGTGGCTTTCTCCATATTAGAGATGTCCTAAGATCTGCATAGCATAATAACTGCAAGGCAAGAAGTGCTAACATGCACCTTCAAGAATGTGCCTTTGGGATGAGTTCATGTCCTTTGCAGGGACATAGATGAAGCTGGAAACCATCATTCTGAGCAAACTATCACAAGGACAGAAAACCAAACACCACATGTTCTCACTCATAGGTGGGAATTGAACAATGAAAACACTTGGACACAGGGCGAGGAACATCACACACGGGTGCCTGTCATGGGTTGGGGGGCAGGGGGAGGGATAACACTAGGAGAAATACCTAATGTAAATGATGAGTTAATGGGTGCAACAAACCAACATGGCACATGTATACCTATGTAACAAACCTGCACTTTGTGCAAGTGTACCCTAGAACTTAAAGTATAATAAAAATAATAATAATATAGACACAGAAGCAAAAAAAAAAAAAAAAAGAATGTGCCTTTGGAATGAAAAAAGAAGACTAATTAAAGTACTCAAAGAAGAATTAAAAATATTTTCAAAAGGCAAATAAAAATTGTAATATTTAATAGGAGTATATAGTAATACATCACTGGCTGAGGAAATATCATAATCATAATCAAAAAGTCATGTTAAAAAGGAGAACTCACAACTATTGAAAAGCTGCCATGAGCTAGTAAAAGTGTTAAACATATTGTATGTATGGTCTTATTTAATCTTTCAATAACCCTTTAAGGTATGTATTAGCCACATTTGATAGATAATGAAAATGTGGTTCACTAATTCTTGAGCTTGCATAGTGTACGTCAGAACTAGAATTTGAAAGCTTTCAATTACCAAAAATTCATGCTTTTTCCACCTTATAACAAACTACTTGCAAAAATGATGGAAATTTAAAATTATACATTCAAAATCATGAAGAATTCAATGTTTCCATCTGAAATTCCATGGGGCAATATGGGAGACTGAAAGGAGGATCTATGTTGAATGAGAACCAGGAACCAGAACCAAGGCTGATATTAAAGAATGTGTGTTTCTATAGGAGATGAGAACTTGAAGGATTTTAAACCCTGAGACAATGTAAGACCTTTATTTTATGACTACATTTAGCAAAGTAAAAAACCACTTGGAGTACAAAAACATAGGAAATTAGTTAAATGTACTGCAACAATCTTTGCAATAGATAATGAGGCTCTCTAGTAGGATAAGAGAAGTAAAAATGAAAAAGATGGGGGAAGTGTGAGAGATTAACATAGGAGGTTAACTTGGAAATTTTGTTAAATGTGTGTCCTCTGGGAAAGAGATGAGCCAAAGACAGTGGTGATGATGTTTTAAGTCTGCAGGATTGAGCAGAAGGTGTAGATTATTTCAACGACTTTAATATCAAGGAAAGTAGTTTTTGAAACAGAAGTTAAAAGGACTCTAGAAAAACTGAAGTCAAATTCCGCGGAAGATGTTACTAATTATCTACAAGAAGAAATAGACATCAGTTGGCCGGGAGCAGTGGCCCACGCCTATAATCCCAGAATTTTTGGAGGCCAAAATGAGCAGACCACCTGAGGTCAGGAGTTCAAGACCAGCTTGGCCAACATGGTGAAACCCCATCTCTACTAAAATTATAAAAATTAGCCAGGTGTGTTGGCATGTGCCTGTGGTCCCAGCTACTTGAGAGGCTAAGGCACAAGAATGGTTTCAACCTGGGAGGCACAGGTTAAAGTGAGTGGAGATTGTGCCACTGCACTCCAGCCTGGGCAACAGAGTGAGACTCCCATCTCAAAAAAAAAAAAAAAAAAAAAAGACATTACTTGCAAAAAGAGAATTAATTGTTATCAAAAATTTTATTTATAAAGGATAAATCTAAATGAAATTTTAGCATTTCTTTTTTGGAGACATTAAAGATATCCAACAATTTAACATGATGTTATATTAAGATAAAGGGTTTATGCATACCATACTTAGTATGATATATAATATACATTTTAACAAGAATTAATATTGGGAAGTGGACAACAGTAGTTTCTGCAGACACTTCTAAGTCTTAGAGTCTGTAATCCCCTTTCCCCAGAAAAACTCTTCAAAGTAAAATAATAGTATTTATAAGAAACACTGATAAGTGTCCAACTTAAGGTTGTTTTAATATATGTGATATGTGATATGCTGTCTGCATTAGGATAGTGAGGAGGCAGGGCTCAGTGGGCAATAGAGAGGATTCAAATGTTTTTGCAGAGAAACTGCTTTAAAATTTGCTTCTGGAATTTCTCCCCTTGCTATGATTCCAATATCCTTCCACTGAGCAAACAGTAGAGTTAACTGCACCATGGGGACATCATCTTCTTCTATCTCAGGGGATTCATTATCTCAGATCTCAAATTCTTAAGTGCAGCAAATCCTCTAATCATTTCTTTCTTGAATCCATAGAAGCTATTTTGCTAGAAAGAGTACCAACTAATGACTGAATCTGAATTCACTATGTGACTCTTAGGCAAATGGGCACATCTGACAAGTCACATTATAAGGCTATTAATAAGTAATTTTGACTGGTCATCTATGTACATCAATAGCTTTGTTAGTATATAGGTATTATGTGGCTTTTCTATATGAACTAAGGAATATGTTAACATAAATTATTTTCTGATTAATACGTTCAATTTGCATGAGCACAATTCTTAGTATGAACATTATATCATATTATAATTAAGACTGTATTTTAAAATTCATAATTGGCAAGAAATGGCCAGGTTGTCTTTTCTATTTGAGAAAACTATCTGAAAAAAATGTCTTTAGATTTTTAAATGACAGTCGGTATACCAAGTACTTTAACAAACATCTCACTTGAAACAAAGATTTTATGGCTGAAGGAAAAAATTTGAGATGCATTCCTTTTAAAATATTTATAATAAAGGACTGACACATGGTCTATTGTCTGTGAAACTCCTGTGAATAGTTCTATCTATGCATTTAACTATGCCTTTAACATAAAGTTGCTACTAAATTATTCATTGTTTTAATTACTATCTAAAAAATCTGAAAATGGAACATGATAAAATGCTTTTGAACTCATTATTTGGCTGTAGTCAATTGTCAGCTATTATTAGCAGTAATTTATAACCTGATTTTTTATGATCCTATTCCAAAATGGTTCTATTGGTGAAAATGGCATAAACTTTTGTTCTATCGCTTTTGTTTTGCATTAACTGTGAAAATTAAACATCAAATATTGTCTTCTCTTTTCCACTGTCCTTCTGCCTAAAATATGTTTTCCTTTCTTTCTGGCTAAAATGTTGCAGGACCATTTTATTTTACTTTATTTAGTTCCATTTTCCTTTTAGTTCACATATAATTGTACATGCTTATGAGATATGATGTTTTGATATAGATATACAATGTATAGAGACCAAATTAGGGTAATTAGCATATTCATCTCCTTGAACATTTATCAATTCTTTGTGACGAGATCATTCAAAATCCTCTTTTCTACCTATTTTGAAATATACGGTATATTATTGTTAACAACAGTCACGCTATGGTACAGTGAAACACTACAACTTATTCATGCTAACTCTAACTTTGTACCTATTGATCATACTCTCCTCATTCCCCTCTTCACCCTACCCTATCCAGCTCCTCTAGTAACCACTCTTCTACTCTCTACTTCCATGAGATCAACTTTTTTAGGTAATAGGACCATTTTAAATAGGCATATTATACTTTGCTACTATTAACCTAGAAGCCGGAGTAGAGACTTTATCTTTTAGTAGTGTAATGAAGTCATGAATAAAAATTCAGTATAGTTCATTGCACTAGTTGATTTAGAAAGTTCTGGGATGTATTTTGGCTAAGGGGAAAACTGAAGTACCACTTGATCCCAATACATCTCTCAATTTTCCCCATGATTCACATTCAATTACTCCTGATATGAGATCACTTTCCCTGCCTCAGGGCTTATTACTAACCTGTGCTGTTGCTGATACCAAGACACTCAGAGAGTTGCATTCTCCCTCATCCCCTGAAGAGTTTCCATTTACGTGATCTGTAAGTGTCTGTGTGTGAAGGGGTTGAGGAAGCGGTGTTAACCTTCGCCAGGGAGATCCCCCTGTCAGCTAACACCTTTATGGGGGGCATTCAGTCTCTTGTAGCTAGGATCCCAGAGGTCCATGACAAGAGTGAGCATTCCCTCAGTTCCCTCATTCGCCAATTTCCCAGAAGCCATCCCAACAGCAGGGTCCCCAGCTTTCTGTCTCTACAGCCTCAGCTTTAGCTTTGCCTCTTCACGCTCAGCATTTTCTTTCCTAAGATCTGTCCAATTTATGTTGATTTACTCGATAATTTGGTCTCTCTCAGTGAAAGCGGTGCTTCCTGGCTGCATCTAGTTGGACATCTTGTTCCTTCCCATCTGTGTAATACATTTTTCATACATGCTTTATTTTGACATAATTTTAGCTTTACAGAAAAGTTGCAAAGATGGCATGGAGAATTCCCAAATACCCCTTACCCAGTTTCACTTTCCCTTAATGTTACATTTCTCTGGTTTATTTTTCAAAATTAGGAAACTAACATTGGTATGTTACTATCACTGAAACTCCAGACTATCTTTGGATTTCAGCAGGATTTTCTTTAATGTTCTTTTTTTGTTGCAAAATTCAATCCAGAACACCCCATTGCATTTAGTTGTCATGTTTCAGTTTCCTGAATCTGTTTCCTTGTTTTTCTTGATATTGATAATTTTGAGTACTGCTCAGGTATGTTATAAAATGCACTTCAATCATGGTTTGTCCGATGTTTTCTCATGATTATGTTATGGGATCCTTGGGGTATCACTTCACCAGCGAAAACCTCTGTCCCTAGTGGCACCTATGCCCAAGTTTTCCTCAGGCCCACTGGCCCACTCAGCCTAGCAGGCTGTGCTCAGCTCACAATACCAGCCTGGATCCCATACCTGCCAAGGGCAAGCAGAGCAGCGAGGCGTGTATGAGCGAGAAAGTGTGGGGTCCACCTACTGCACACAGCCAGGCATGCTTGCTGTGGCAGGGCAGGCAGTTCCAGGCACCAACACAGGCACCAGCTCCCTGCAAGGCTGCAGCTGGAGCAGGTGTACTGCAAGCAGCTTCCATGGCTGATGCTGCAGAATGCAGTGGTGCCCAGAAGCTAAGAGACACCAGGAACCACAGAGCCAAAGAGGCTGTCACAGCCCTGACTCAGGGAGCTCTTAGGTCTGGGCTCCCCGAAGGGCAGCAGTTCTTCACTCCTTTTTGTCGCCTGCAATGTGGTGAGTGAGGAAAGGGTATGTTTTAGCCCTGTTTGTGTGACTGCTCTTTCAGCCATGCCATTCGGTGGGTCCCAAGTTCTTGTCCTGCACCCAGGAAGAATGAGATATGCAGAAAGTGGAGGGTGAGTTAGGTGAAAAGGAGCTTTTCTGAGCAACAGAACAGCTCAGAGGAGACACATAGAGGGTAGCTCCTCTCCACAGCCAGGGTGTCCTGACCAGTGTTCAACTCTCAGCAGAGAGGAGACCCTGAGGTGGATAGCTCCTTTCACAGCTGGCCGTACCATTGCCTTTTCAGCTCTCAGCAGAGAGGAGACCCTAGGGTGGGTACCTCCTCTCTGCAGCTGGTTGTCTTGTCATCTTTTTCAATCTGGCTGAGTCCGGGAGTTTTTATGGGCTTCAGAGTAGAGGAAGTAGGTGCTGATTGGCCCTTGGGCAACCATGTGCAGGCCCAGAAAAAGCATCATAAATTCCCACTCCAGTCTGCGAGGCTGGCAGCCCGGCTCTCAGGCTTCAAGCCTTCCCTGGGTTGAAGGTGGGGCCTCACTGGGGACCCATCCCTCTCTGTCCAGGAGCCTGTCTGCCTCCTGCCACTGTTCATGGCACCCAGGCTGTTCCTGCCGAGGGTCACCTGCAGGCCAGGGCCAAGCTGCCTTCAGCACCTCCCCAGCCTCCCTTCCTTGCTTACTGGTGCCCAAAGTCCAGAGCGGGGCTCAGGCAGCAGGATGCTGGTGTGTCAGCAATGCCCCAAGCATGCACACACCAGGCCAGGTTGCAAAAGCCCCAGGGCTCAGCCTCAACTCCGCTCCGAGATCAGAGCTGGTGCCAGGAGCAGGCAGAGGCCAGGCAGCAGGAGCAGGCACCTCCGAGTCTGCACGGGGGCAAGGGTTCTTTCCCGGGTCCCCAAAAGTGTGGAGATGCCCAGATCCACAGCCACAGCTTGCGCACCTGCAACTGCACCCAGAAGGGCAGGGCTCCTGGCACCCAAGAGAACAGGGATGCCCAGGTTTGTAGCCACATCTTGAGCAGCTGCAGCTGCACCCGGGAGGGTGAGGTTTCTGCCTGCTCCCGGACCCCAAGAGCACAGGGATACCCGGGTCTGCAGCCACAGCTGGGCAGCTGCAACTGAGCCTGGGGAGCACAAGGCACCTGCCTGCCAACTCATAAGGGGTGGGGGCTTTTGCCTGTTCCCAGCTCCTTCGGGCTCCATCGAGTGCACAGCCCCACCCGCACCTCTCCCACTGCAGCCAACGTCATGGCAGCAGCCACTGCACACAGGCCACAGCTGCCATCAATTACACTGGGCCTTTGAATTTTTGAAGAGGTGACCACAGAGGTAAAGTGCCCTTTTTATCCCATCAGAGCAGGGGTTACATAATATCTACATGGCATTACTGATGGTGCTGACTTTAATCACTTGCTTAAGGTAGTGTTTGCACTAAATAAAACTTAAACTTACAATTGTTACCTTTCCATACTCTATTCCTTGGAAGACAGTCACTGAATCCAGCCTATACTTAATGAAGGAGATCACGAGCTCCACCCCCAAAAGTGGAGACTATTAATAGATCAGTAAGGAAGATTTCTCTCTTCTTCTCCATTTATGTATTTATTCAATCATTTAACAGTATGGACTCATACTTTTTATACTTCAGATTATAATCCAGTGATATGTTATTTATTTTGTTGTTGAAATTGTTCCAGCTTTCCCCATTGAGAGCTCTTTCATGCTGGCTGCTGGGTCTTGGACAGGTCTTCATCCTTTTGCTATCCTTTTCTCTTCAAGGCCCCTCCTTGATTTCTGGTATTACTGGTCCTTCTCCTCCAGGCTTATCTTATATATTTTTTCACCAGCCTTAGAAATATCTTAGAATCAGACATTTCCCCAAGGATCTCTGGTTCTTTTCACTGGACATGGCAGACATGCACACACTGCTGTGAGGGTAACTTTGTTTCTAGATTATTTCAGCAGAAAGGGCTAGGTAATGTGTGTTCACACAGTAAGCCCTGAATACACACATATCTGTCATTGCTTCTATATTTGTCCATCTATGTGTGTGTCCGTGTGTATTCGTGCTTGTGTTTAAACATGATGTCACAGTGTAACTCTGACTCTAGCACAGTCCCTCATGATCATTCTGGCCTTCCTTTCTTGTTTACCTATAACTTCTCATACCAACAGTGAGAAACCTGGATGCCACTGTTCATCTTTTAACATTTTTGTTCAACACTAGTATGCTTGTGAAGCAATTACAAAATTAGCTGTACCCACATGAGAAAAAAATTACCATTTAGAATACAGTACTTATGCACAGTTACTTTTCTCTTTAGCCTGACATTTTTTAATCAAAATATTATTTCTCAAAATAACCAAAGTCAGTATTTACTTCTTCTCTACCCTTTTCAGGGTCGTTAGCTTACACATTTATATAACGTGAGATTGATTTGTCACTGTCTGCATACCATTCTAGGATCTTCCTGCATCTTGGTGAAACTTTTGCTTGTTTATTTGCATGCATTTGAGTGCAATTTTGTGATACACTTCTTGGGGATTAATAAATCATAGACTTGCATATTACTAGTGCAGCACCATACAAGACAACTCTATCATTTAAAATGTCCCCTGCGTGTATTCTTTGTAATCAACTAATCTCCCCTACACTAAGCCCTGGATAACACTGGTGTGTTTCCATCCCAACAGGTTTTCTTTTTCCAGATGTCTTATGAATGAACTCATACAATATTCAGACTTTGAAGTCTGGCTTCATTCATTTAGTGAAATACACTTAACAAATATTCATGTTGTTGCATGTATCAGTAGCTCATTCCATCCCTTTGATCAATAGTATTCATTCATCAATCAATTTCCACAAAATCATAGATCATTGTATGGAAATACCCAAGATTATTTTTCCCCTATTGAAGGGCATGGGTTGCTTACAGTTTTGAGTAATTATGAATAACACTGATATAAATACTTGCATGCAAATTTTTACATGGACATAAGATTTAATTCACTGGTGTAAATACTTAGGAATGTGATTGTTAAGTCATATGGCAAGACTATATTAAACTTTATAAAAATTGCCAAATGGTCAAATTAGTTGCACCACTTTGCATTTCTTCCAGCAATCAAAGAGAGTTTCCCTCACTTTGCATTCTTGCTAGCATAAATTTTCAGTGCTTTTGTTTTAGTGACAAAGGAATTTGTGAGAATTTATTTTCAATCTTGTTACATGAGTACTTTCATAATACTTCAATTTTGTATCTCAATTTACAAAGCCTTAATATTGACTATGAAGATTTTTATAGGAAAAAATACTGGCATCTGGACTTTCATATAGATTTTCTTAAATCAGTGAGATTTTCTTCAGTCAACTTAATTGTAAATCAATTATTACAAGCTTTTTTAAATATGGGAAATCATGTCTTTGATAAGAACAGGTCAGTTTTTTCATTTTTTCTCTAAGAATTTTGTTTTTTTTTTCTGTATCTATCACTTAATGTGTATTTGAAAACTTTCTAATTAACTTTTTCTAATACATATAATCCATGAAACTATTCCATTTTCTCAATACAGTTTAGAAATTACTTAAACATTTGGCTAAATGTTCTGAACCTTACTTACTTTCAAGCTACATTTTCGTGCTAGAAAAATGCTTAATTCATGCTGAATATGTTCAGTGTGATTTTTAAAGGCTTCACGATTCAATGTTTTTCATATAACCTAATTTATATTTTATTTCTCTGTCCGTGAAGAGTCTTTTAAGAGGCCAGGCACGGTGGCTTATGCCTGTAATCCCAGCACTTTGGGAGGCCAAATTGGGAGGATTACTTGAGGTCAGGAATTCGAGACCAGCCTTGGCAACATGGTGAAACCCTGTCTCTACTAAAAATACAAAAGTTAGCCAGAAGTGGTGGTGCATGCCTGTAATCCCAGCTACTCAGGATGCTGAGGTAGGAGAACCACTTGAAACCGGGAGATGGGGGTTGCAGTAGTCGAGATGGCACCACTGCACTCCATCCTGGGCAACAGAGCAAGACTCCGTCTCAAAAAAGAAAAAAAAAAGCGTTTTAAGAAGCATAAACAAATTTCCTCCAACCCCCTTTGACTGAACATTGATCGATACTCATTCTGATTTGATCTAGTTCTAAGTCCCAACATCCATTTTATCTTCTCCAAGTATAGTAGTGAATATTCATCAATTGTTCACTCAAATATTTGGTTTGATTTCTTATCATTTAGCACTTAATCCAAGGATATAAATATCTTTTTGCCCAGTGGTAAACTTGTCATCCAATCCTTAGGCTTATTTTGCAAACAGGTTAGGTTTTCCTCAAGATTGAAATGCTCATCCAAACCCTATTTTATTGCTGTCTTAAGTGGGGTTTTTCTCTTTTGACATAGTTTTAAGGTCATTTTGGCATCAGGTTCTCACTATTTAAAAGACTTCATTCAACACATCTTCCAGTGACTCAACCCATATTCTAAACCTAGCCATGAATGTAATACATTCTGAAGTTTTTTGTTTTGTTTTGTTTTGTTTTGTTTTCTTAGACGGAGTCTCGCTCTGTCACCCAGGCTGGAGTGCAGTGATGCAATCTCGGCTCACTGCAACCTCTGCCTCCCAGGTTCAAGCGATTCTCCTGCCTCAGCCTGCCGAGTAGCTGGGACTACAGGCACCCCCCACCACGCCCGGCTAATTTTTTCTATTTTTAGTAGAGACGGGGTTTCACCGTGTTAGCCAGGATGGTCTTGAACTCCTGACCTTGTGATCCACCTGTCTCGGCCTCCCAAAGTGCTGGGATTACAAACATGAGCCACTGCACCTGGCCCCATTCTGAACTTTAAGATGTTCTTTTTTTTTCCAAAGATCACATATAAATGGCCAATAAACATATGAACAAATGTTAATCATAAGAGAATTGCAAGTTAAAACCACAATGAGATATTACCTTATGCCATTCAAAATGGCCATGATTAAAAAAATCAAGACAAAAAAAAAAAAAACAAATTTTGCCAAGGGTATAGAGAAAAAAAGAATACATACACTGTTGGTGGGAATGTAAATTAGTACAAGCCCTGTGGAAAACAGTATGGAGACTTTTCAAAGAACTAAAAATGGAACTACCATTTGACCCAGCAATCCCATTATTGGATATCAACCTAAAGGTAAATCATTATATCAGAAAGAAACCTGCATGTCTATGTATATCGCAGCACTATTCACAATAGCAAAGTAATAGAATCAACCTGAGTGTCCATCAATGGACTATTGGATTTCTAAAATGTGATACTACTTCCCCATAAAAAGACTGAAGTCATGTCTTTTATAACAACTTGGATGGAACTGGAGGCCATTGGCTTAAGTGAAATAACTCAAAAACAGAAAGCCAAATGCTAGATATTATCAATTATAAGTGGGAGCTAAACAATGGGTACATGTGGATACAGAATGAAATAATGACATTGGAGACTCCAAAAGGTGGGAAGTTGGGAAAGGGTTGAGGGATGAAAGACTACCTATTGAGGACAATGTATCCTATTTGGATGATGGATACACTGAAATCTCAGACTTCACTATGTAAATATATCCATGGAACACAACTGCACTTCTATACCCTAAATCTGTTAAAATTTGCATTTTTCAAAAACATTTTCTTTATTTTTTTCAAAGCATCTATTTTGAACTCAAATTTCCTATACACTTAGAGGATTTGATGCCTTGTTCTCAGGGCAGGACTCCATGAAAAATAATTTACCTTTTCATACACTTTTTTTTTTTTTTCAAGAGGCAAAGTTTTGCTCTTGTTGCCCAGGCTGGAGTGCAATTGCACTATCTCGGCTCACTGCAACTTCTGCCTCCAAGTTCAAGCGATTCTCCTGCCTCACCTCCCAAGTAGCTGGGATTACAGGAACACACCCCCAAGCCCGGCTAATTTTTTGTATTTTTAGTAAAGATGGGGTTTCACCGTGTTGGCCAGGCTGGTCTCAAACTCCTGACCTCAGGTGATCCACCCGCCTCTGCCTCCCAAAGTTCTGGGATTACAGGCATGAGCCAGCACGCCAAACTCATATTCTTTTTTAATCAGCCTAATTTATTAAAACATTACATTTGTCTTCAACTACAGAAGAAACTTCTCTGGTAAACTCTTTTTTTTCTCTCTACATAAAGTGGGCTTTTATAATTACAAAATCCAAATAGAGCCGCACTTACCACCATCCCCCATGTTAAGCCATAGAACTCTGATGTGAGTCTCATGTCTCCTTGCAACATTGACGTGGCCTCAATCAGCTTCTCCAGGACCTCTATAAAGTAACACCTCATAGCAGTAAGCAGGTCCTCCATAGCACCAGATCTGCCTTTGGTTGCCAAGACACTATGATTCTACAACAAACTGCAGAGAACACTAGCAGTGTTCTGCTTGGAACCTAAATCTGCACCTAGCAACCAGGACAGCACATCAGTGGGATGCCAATGTGGGAGGATAGATGGGGCTTTCTAAACATTTTCACTATTAGCACATGAAAAATGGGAAACTACAAGGCTCTTGTTGATCCAGGAAGACTGGCCACAGAGACTGTATTCCTTCTAGGCACTGACAAGCAACCCTAAAGTATGAGAGAATTAATGTCATTTCATACATGTGCAATTCAGGAATTACTAGGAACGTGGCAGTAAAGAACTTACATGCCCATATCAATAGTCAAAGTCCTCTTAATGTAAACGTGTCTTTCTGAGGTTCTGCTAGACCTAATACTATTTAAAAATTCAAAGGTTCCTCACCTCAGTATCCAATCTTGTTTTGTTTTGGGTTAGATGAGGGGGATAAGCATGAGAGAGTTGAATTATTGTCATTAAGTTATCGATTTAACTTTCAAATGTAAAAACTCATGAAGGTTGAAGGTAATTTGGGGTTTAGGTTTTTTTAACTTTTATTTTAGGTTCATGGGTATATGTGCAGGTTTGTTATACAGGTAAACTGCGCATCACAGGGGTTTGGAGTACAGATAATTTCATCATCCAGGTAATAAGCATAGTACTCAATAGGTATTTTTTCTGATCTTCTTCCTCCTCCCACCCTCCACCGTCAAGTAGACCCCAGTGCATGTGGTTCACCTTCTAGTATCCATGTGTTCTTATGTTTAGCTCCCACTTATAAGTGAGAACATGTGGTATTTGGCTCTTTTCCATTTAGTTTGCTTAGGATGATGGCCTGCAGCTCCATCCATGGTGCTGCAAAGGAAATGACCTCATTCTTTTTATGACTGCATAGTATTCCATGGGGTCTATGTACCACATTTTCTTTACCCAATCTACTGTTGATGGGCATTTAGGTTGATTTCATGTATTTGCTGTTGTGAACAGTGCTGCAATGAACATACTCGTGCATATGTCTTTATGGTAGAATGATTTATATTCCTTTGGGTATATACCCGCTAATGGGATTGCTTGGTGGAAGAGTAGTTCTGTTTTAAGTTCTTGGAGGAATCATTACACCATTTTCCACAATAGCTAAGGTAATTTACATTCCCACCAGCAGTGTATAAGCATTCCCTTTTCTCCATAGCCTTGATGTATCTGTTATTAATAATTTGACTTTTTGATAATAGCCATTCCACCTGGTACGAGATGGTATCTCATTGCGGTTTTGATTTGCATTTCTCTAATGATTAATGATATTGAGCATTTTTTCATATGCTTGGCCGCATGTGTATCTTCTTTTGGAAAGTGTCTGTTTATGTCTTTTGCTGACTTTTAAACGGCATTGTTTCTTTCTTATAAATTTGTTTAAGTTCTTTCTAGATGCCAGATATTAGACCTTTGTCAAATGCATTGTATGCAGATATTTTCTCTCATTTTGTAGACTGTCTGTTTCCACTGTTGATAGTTTCTTTTACTGTGAGAAGTTCTTTAGTTTAAATAGGCCTCATTTGTCAATTTTTGTTTTTGTTGCAATTGCTTTTGGCATCTTCGGCATGAAATCTTGGCCAAGTCCTATGTCCAGAATGATATTTCCTAGGTTATCTTCAGAGTTTTTATATTAACAGTTTTCATTTTTACATTTAAGTCTTTAATTCATCTTGAGTTGATTTTTGTATGTGGTGCAAGTTTGGCATCCAGTCTCAATCTTCTGCATGGAGCTAGTCACTTATCTCAGCACCCTTTATAAAATGGGGAGTCCTTTCCCCATTGCTTGTTTTTGTCAGCTTTGTTGAAGATCAGATATTTGTAGATGTGTGGCATTATTTCTGGGTTCTCTATTCTATTCCATTGGTGTATATATCTGTTTTTGTACCGGTATCATGCTGTTCTGGATACTGTAGCCCTCTGGTATCATTTGAGTAAGGTGATGCCTCTAACTTTGTTCTTTTTTCTTAGGATTGCCTTGGCTATTAGGGCTCTTTTTTAATTCCATACAAATTCTAAAATAGTTTTTTTCTAATGCTGTGAACAATGTCATTGGTAGTTTGATAGCAAATTGCATTGAATCTATAAATTGCTTTGGACGGTATGGTCATTGTAATGATACTGATTCTTAGTATCCATCAGCATGGGATGTTTTTTCCATTTCCTTGTGTCACTTCTGATTTCTTTTAGCAGTGTTTTGTAATTGTCATTGTAGAGATGTTTTACCTTTTAGGTTAGCAGTATTTCTAGGTATTTTATTCTTTTTGTGGCAGTTGTGAATGGGATTGCATTCCTGATTTAGGCCTCAGCTTAGATGTTGTTGATGTATGGGAATGCTAAATTTTTGTACATTTATTTTATATCCTGAAACTTATCTAAAGTTGTTTATCAGATCAAGGAGCTTTTGGACCAAGATTATGGGGTTTTCTTTATACAGAATCATGTCTTTTGCTACCAAGAATAGTTTAACTTCTTCTCTTTCTATTTGGATGCCTTTCATTTCTTTCTCTTGCCTGATTGCTCTGGCCAGGACTTCCAGTACTATGTTGAATAGGAGTGGTGAGAGAGGGCATCCATGTCTTGTGCCAGTTTTCAAGGGGAATGCTTCCAGCTTTTGCCCATTCAGTATGATGTTGGCTGTGGGTTTTTTACAGATTGCTCTTATTGTTTTGAAGTATGTTCCTTCAATGCCTAGTTAATTGAGGGTTTTTAACATGAAGGGATGTTGAATTTTATTGAAAGCCTTTTCTGCGTGTATTGAGATAATCATGTGGTTTTTGTTTTCATTTCTGTTTATGTGATGAATCACATGTATTGATTTGCATATGTTGAACCAACCTTTCCTATCAGGGATAAAGCCTACTTGATCATCGTGGGCTTTATCCCTGGGACACAAGGGATCATGGTAGGCTTTTTCCCTGGGATGCAAATGATCACACCCTAATCTGTGGAGCCTGTGATTATACGTTACTTTACATGGCAAAAGGACTTTATAGATGTGATGAAATTCAGAATCTTGAGATGGGGATATTATCCTGGATTAGGCAAGTGAGCTGACACAATCACACGTGTCCATATAAGAGGGAGGCCAGAAGTCAAAGGGAAGATACTCCACTGCTGACTTTAAATATAGAGGAATGGGCCATGAGCCAAGGAATGTAGGTTACCTCTAGACGATAGAAAAGGTGAGGAAACAGCTATTTCATCAAAAAGCTAAGAAATTAGGTTTTTATGTGCTGTTCGATTTGGTTTGCTAGTATTTTGTTGAGGAGAATCAAGATAATTTGAAAGATTTTCAAATTTCAAGGATTTACACTCCTGCCAAATGACTCCCCAAACCCATAGCCAGTCACTGTTCTTCACCATTGCCTCACTCTCAAGCACAATACAAAAACTTTCCATTTCCTGAGTGGGTAAAGAAATGTGATGTTATAACTAAATAAATATTTGTCAACAATATTACCATGCCTTGGTGTTATCTATTCCATGCATTTCTAGTGAATTGTTCATTAGGAAACCCCAGTACTTTATTCAAAGTTTTTGTCATTTGACCTAAGATAAACAAAGTTATCTATTCCTCCCAAAGAAAAGTGTCAGATATGTTAAGATCGTCTCAGTTTGCCAACAGTAAGAAATTCTTTTTTTTTTTTTTGAGACGGAGTCTCGCTCTGTTGCCCAGGCTGGAGTGCAGTGGCACCAAGCTCCGCCTCCCGGGTTCACACCATTCTCCTGCCTTAGCCTCCCGAGTAGCTGGGACTACAGGCGCCCGCCAACACGCCCAGCTAATTTTTTTGTATTTTTAATAGAGATGGGGTTTCACCGTGTTAGCCAGGATGGTGTGGACCTCCTGACCTTGTGATCTGCCCATCTTGGCCTTAAGAAGTATGGAGACATATAAAAAAGATATATGAGCCAACTGGAAGGGGTCCTCTCTAGCCAAAACAGTGACCATTTCAGCATCAAAATAATGACAGAATGAAATAATAATGCATAAGAC
Organism: Homo sapiens; assembly: GCF_000001405.40. Lineage (NCBI taxonomy): Eukaryota > Metazoa > Chordata > Mammalia > Primates > Hominidae > Homo > Homo sapiens. The sequence goes on along the minus strand of NT_167245.2, from coordinate 385,755 downwards.
CATATTATGATATATAGGTAGACACATAGATAAATAATACCTGATACCCACACGTACACACACACACACACACAGGAAAAAGGAAAGCTATTCCTTCATATAGAATGCCAACTCTATTAGTTTTCCATTGTTGCTATAACAAATTACTACAAATTTGGTGTTTAAAATAACAAAAATATCATGTATCTGGAGATAGGAATACTAAATTGGGTCTACAGGGCTGCATTTCTTCTGTAGGCTTTCAGAGAGAATCTGTTTTCTCAACTACTCCAGCTTCTAGAAGCAACCTGTTTTCCTTGGCTCATGGCCCATTCCTGTTTCTTTAAAGTCAGCAGCAGACTATCTTCTCTCTGACCTCTGGCCTCCCTCTTATATGAACACATATGACTATGTCAGCCCACCTGGCTAATTCAGGATAATAATCCCAACTCAAGGTTCTGAATTTAATCACATCTATAAAAATCCTTTTGCCATGTAAAGTAACATATAATAACAAGTCCCAGAGGTTAGGGTGTGATCATTTGCGACAAGGAGAGGAAGTATTTAGCCTACCACACAAACTAATAAGTTTAGAAGGAATGATGGAACTTTAAGAATCATTATTTGGAAACCACTATAGTAATAATAGTAAAAATTAGTAATAATGGTAATAAAAAATAACGACTGGCCTACATATGGCAGATACTGCCCAGTGGTCTAGGAGAATGACATTGTCGCTGATGTTCTTCATGCACCAATGGCCTGTTAAAGGTACAGTGGCCCAAAACACTTCTCAGCCATTGGTTGAGCCTTGAGGAATTTACAACCTTATGTGAATAAGCATAATTGCTGCAAATATGAAATGTTTGGTTGAGGTATAAGTGACACATTTTAACCTTGAAGGAAAAGTTCTTGTGAACATCCTCAGGACAGTAAGAGAGTAAGATAAATTCAGTGTGGTTCAAATATTAGGTGTTAAAACAAAGAATAGGAGAAAATGAAGACCTTCCCATGACAAGTTGCAAAGAGCCAAGAAATGTACATACTGAATCCTCACCTTCTTGTTTTAAAGAGTTCAGATGTCTATAGGGAGGAACAATTGCCTAGTGATTAAGAACAAACTGTGAAGTTAGAAAGCCCACATTTGAATCCAAGCTTCATCACTTACTAGCTCTGTTGTGGTCAGTTTTCTCATGCAGACAATAGAGACTATGATATTACTGTTGCCTCCCAATAGTTATCCCATCTCACCTACACTGTGTAGCATGTGCTTTGGATGAAATTAACCCCACCCCCAGTGCAGGAGCAAGAGTGACTTTATTTTAAATGCTAATCTGCCGTGTAACTTCTGAATAACCCTGAGTCCCTATAAGATGTTAAGTTGATATATTACTCTTTATGTAGGAACATGTATTCACTGTAAGTTTCCTCCAAAACAACCCTTGACGCTGTTGTAGGAAGCATAGTCCATGGCACCTGTAGCTACCTACATGTTTCTTTCAGAGCAAGTATACTTTCCTCAAAAGATAAGCCCTAGATCTGGAGGACTGCAGTGCAAAATCTAACTATGTTGTGGCCACCCAAGACAACATATATGTCTGTAAATTCCTTTAGTAAATCACCCCAAACCAACAAGCTAGATTTGTCTGCCTCCTTCTTTGATTTATCTGCTCTTTGTGCATTTGAGAGATGGCTTTGCATATATGGCCCTTTCACTGAAAACCTGGCTTCAGAAGTGGCCCCCAATTAATCTCAGCCAATCATTGCATTTTCGCCCCTTGTCCCAAACATGTTGCCAGGAATGTGCAGACAACTTATGCGTCAGTATGAAGCTCTGTATAAAGAGCCATTTTTGTTCATTGATTATAGGATGATATTCAACCTCTTGAATGTGAACAAGGAAGCATATAGGCCTGATTATTGCTGACAATGTTTCGTGATTGTGAGGGGAATCAACTTGATGACAAATCCAATACATGGAAGAGGACATAGCTGAGGAAACTGCAGAGATATTGATCCAGAGCACTGATCAAGCTATACCTGAAGCCCACACTACTGCTGAACTTTTTGGTTTTATAAGCAATAAATCCCCCTTATTTGTTAAAAACAATTATTTTGTTAAAGTAAATGGCCGGCCTGCACTCTTCAAAACTATAAGGTGCATTGAAGAGACAGACAGACTGAGGAATGGTTCCCAATTAAAGAGAAAAAAGAGACATCACACTGCCACCTTATGATCCTGGATTAGATACTTTTTTAGGAAATATTCTTGTGACAACCTAGGGGAACATGTGCATTACAGCGTAATAGTTTAGAAAAAAAATTTAAATGCATATTAACATTAGTATAAAGTGAGAATGATAAACCATACATGTTGAAATGCTAAGATTTTTTAAATCTGGTGAAGCTCAATGGTAAGTCTTTCTACTATTTTTATAACTTTTCCATGAGTTTTTTTGTGATTGTTGGATGATACTTGGTATATAATCACTTGTATTTGAAACTTATGTTTGAAATCATGTAGTGTTTTCATAATATATGATCACTAATCACCTTTCCAGCCTCACATATGTAAAATAGGAGATATGAACCTGAGCTACATAGCAGAATACAGACGGAGTGTACCTAGGCTGGAAGCCAGAGCTACTTTCTGTGATTACCTGGATGACATATTTGTGCCAACAATTCTGTACTGCAGAGTTAAAATAAGAAAAGATAATTGAGTATGTATATAAGAATATGCTGCACAGCAACAAGTATAAGATACAGTGGACAAAGACTGGGAGACATCTGTCTGAATGGGGAGGAGAAATTTACAGGGCAAAAGAAGCTGATGCTTCCATGAGGTTAGCCTTCATTCCTATCTGGGAAAAAGCTGGCTTCACTGTTAGTTCTTCAGTAAAGTTGCTTGCCATACAAATTCATGTGTGCTTTGGAAATCCCAGTTCACAAATGTTTTCATAAGGTTTAGGGCTGACAAGGGGAGCATCTCAGGGCTTCTATTTTGCCTTCAGTGTTGTTGACATAGGAATGGGTTGTCAGAGCTAAAAATGTATTGTCCTTACCCTGATTTTTTCACATACAAGTTGCCAGAAGTTATACAAGCCACCTATTTTCTTCCCTTCAGTTTGATAAAGTGAGAAAACTCATTCCTGTTGTCCTATCTGTGATAATACTGCATAAAGTCTGTTCGACTGGTTTGAAAAGTACAAAACAATAAAAACAGTAATACCAGTGTTAATCTTTGGTGGAATTTTTGGTAACTGATCTATTTCTCAGATTACAAATTACACAGCACAGGCTAATATGGCTAGGATTCAACATTAGATATACTATAATTATAACCTCCCAAAAGAAAATGAAAAGTCTATACATATAAAAGAAAATGTATATGTTTTGTAAGAGAAAAAGGAGAAAAGAGCACAGAAAGTTAAAAAGAAAAAAAAAGAATTTAGATAGTGAGAAGTGGTATCAATAAAATGGCAAAATAGGACTTTCCAGTGCCAGTTGGCCCCCCAGGTCAGACTCTGTAGCCCCAAGACCCATGCCAGTACCCAAGGATCTAGCCTCCAGACCAGTACATATAAGCTGGGCCCCATAAACCCGGACTCCAGACCAGCCCCCAAGGCAGTAAGTTCCACTCTAGCACCACACCAGCTCCAGGCTTCAGGGGGATGGTCCCCACTGCTCTAGGCTCCAGTGGACCTAAAGTCCAGGCCCGCACCAGTAGATATCACCTCATACCTTACATCAGTTAGAATGTCTATTATGAAAAAAGACAAAGGATAACAGATGTTGAGAAGAATATGCAGAAAAGGGAATCCTTATACACTGTTTTTGGAAATGTAAATTAGGACAGCCATGAGGAAAACCACTGTGAAGGTTCCTAAATAAATTAAAAATATTGCCAAACAGGGTGGCTCACAACTGTAATCCCAGCACTTTGGAAGCCGAGGTGGGCAGATCATCCGAGGTCAGGAGTTTGAGACCAGCCTGGCCAACATGGTGAAACCGCATATCTACTAAAAATACAAAAATTACCTCGGTGCAGTGGCACACACCTGTAGTCCCAGCTATTCAGAAGGCTGAGGCAGGAGTATCGCTTGAACCCGGGAGGCAAAGTTTGCAGTGAGCAGAGATCCCACCACTGCACTCCAGCTTGGGAAACAGAGCAAGACTCCATCTCAAAAAATTAAGTTAAATTAAATATATAAAATGCTCATCATCACTGGCCATCAGAGAAATGCAAATCAAAACCACAATGAGATACCATCTTATACCAGTTAGAATGGCAATCATTAAAAAGTCAGGAAACAACAGGTGCTGGAGAGGATGTGGAGAAATAGGAACACTTTTACACTGTTGGTGGGACTGTAAACTAGTTCAACCATTGTGGAAGTCAGTGTGGCGATTCCTCAGGGATCTAGAACTAGAAATACCATTTGACCCAGCCATCCCATTACTGGGTATATACCCAAAGGACTATAAATCATGCTGCTATAAAGACACATGCACACGTATGTTTATTGCAGCATTATTCACAATAGCAAAGACTTGGAACCAACCCAAATGTCCAACAATGATAGAGTGGATTAAGAAAATGTGGCACATATACACCATGGAATACTATGCAGCCATAAAAAATGATGAGTTCATGTCCTTTGTAGGGACATGGATGAAATTGGAAATCATCATTCTCAGTAAACTAACGCAAGAACAAAAAACCAAACACTGTGTATTCTCACTCATAGGTGGGAATTGAACAATGAGATCACATGGACACAGGAAGGGGAATATCACACTCTGGGGACTGTGGTGGGGTGGGGGGAGGGGGGAGGGATAGCATTGGGAGATATACCTAATGCTAGATGACGAGTTAGTGGGTGCAGCGCACCAGCATGGCACATGTATACATATGTAACTAACCTGCACAATGTGCACATGTACCCTAAAACTTAAAGTATAATAAAAATAAATAAATAAATAAATAAAAAATAAATAAATAAATAAATATATAAATTAAAAATAAATGAATAAAAATAGAACTACCGTATGATCCATTTGTATATATTCTAGGTATATATCCAAAAGAATTAAATCACTATGTTGAAAAGCTATCTATACACCCATCTTTATGACAGCAAATTCATAATAGCCAAGGTATTGAATCAATCTAAGTGTCTGTCAATGAATGAGTGAATAAAGAAAGTGTAGTATATATATAATAGAATACTATTCTGCCTGAAAACAAGAAGGAAGTCTTAATATTCTCAACAACATGGCAAACCTGAAGACATTTTGCTAAGTAAAATAAGCCAGGCACAGAAAAACAAATACTGCATGATCTCATATGTGAAATCGACATAAAATGAATCATAGAAGCACAGAGTAGCAGAAAGATGCTTGTCAGGGGTTAGCAGTGGAGAGAAATAGGGAAAATGGGGAGATATTGGTCAAAGGGTACAAAGTTTCAGATGGAAGGAACAAATTCAAGAGATCTATTCTACGGTATGGTGACTATAGCTAATAATACTGTACTGCATAGTTGAAAACTGCTAAGATAATAGATCCTAAATGTTCTCACCACAAAACAGGTAAGTATGTGAGTTAATGATCTGTTAATTAGCTTGAGTAATAATTGCATAATTATGCATATGTCAAAACATTATGCTGTATATTATAAATAAATACATTTTTTTCACTTATCCTTAATAAAGATGGGGGGGGGGGGATATTTGAGTAGGTGAGAAACCAGGATGCTACCGTAAGTGCTCCAAATCGTAAGATTTCCATAGTAGAAAACAGTTCAAAGGGCGAAGTTATGTTCTTTAAGTTTTTAAAAATGTGTTTTTATGTGATGTTTTACCGTATGTGGTCCCAATTCTTGCTAAAAGTCATTTTACATACATTATTCTTGGTTCTTCACTTCTTGGGTAAGGTTAAGGACAAGGGCACATGCCTCATATTTTTCATGCCTAGTTAGAAATAAAGGAAGAGTCAGAGATGCAGAAGGAAGATAAAGTCAGCAGAATCAATGCAATTGCAAGTCACACTAGAAATTGGAGGGAAGTTCTGAGATGCGTTTTTATTTTTATAATAATTTAGGAAATAGTGTGTGAATCAATCATATCTAAATCTCACAGGCCTCAAAAGCTACAGCTGACATTTGAGTTATAGAGAAAACTCAGGCATTGCAAGTACGTTACTTTATACTGAATTCTCCTTTAGCCATTTTTCCGCTTCATTTGACTATGACTGTCAGTTTAAATTGCTCTAGGTATAGCGCAATTATTTCAAATGAAGATGGTTGACAATAATATATAAAACAAAATGATTACTTCTATAAAATAGATTTCTTTATTTGAAACACATATATTGACATACATAATATACTTATTAACCATAAATACTCAAATTAGATCAAGCTTTAAAATAAAAATAAGCTATCATTTTCCATATGACAGTTTCTATCATAAAATTTTTCCAATATATTTTCACATAATTCTTTCATACACCCATTGGCTTCAAGTCATTTTCAGAGCCTCTCTATTTGCCTCAAATGTTTTCCTTAGTTCCTTAGGTAATGCAGTTGCTCCAAGCACTTACCTCACCTAAGTATACCTAGCCTATGATGACCATTTGTTTATAAGCTCCATAGCTCAGCTTTACCAGCTCCTTTTACTTCCTATATATTTCTCACTGCCTTGCAAAAAAGAGGGATCTCAGATGCTGACTTCTGCTATACTGTTTCAAAGCCTCTCTTACTACAATTCATAAAACTTATTGTTCTCCTATTGATACTGGATATGAAAGAATATGGACCAAAATTCCTCTCAAAATTTACTATCCGACAAAGAATAAGCATTGTTGGAGAAAAGGATTTGAAGTATTTTGCTGTGTATTTAACTAAACTAAAGATAGAAGACAAAAGTATTCTGCCCAAAAAGCAAGAAATTAAAAGACATATTGTAGAGATTTTTAAATTGAGAGTATCATCTTTTCATAGGATTTACAGCTTCGCTTTTATCAAGATTTACAACAAATTTCATGCCTTATTTTCAATCGAGAAATGTCTGTCTTGGATACATTAGGTTTGTACCATGGAAAAACATCACTATAGATGTTTTATCTTGATTTTACATAGCTGTTTTCTCCACAAGTGAATGGTATTTAGGCTGACTGTGTTTTATTCCTACCTGTTACCAGGAACTCCACGACCTTGTTAGAGTACATGCTCAGCAAGTGCTAACAGAGTGAGTGAATAAAAGAATGGTTGATAAATAAATAGAAGGATGAATCATTGTGAGGGGAGACTCTGTTATATTGTTAATATGACACATACACAGGCTCATTCCCACCCCATTAGTCTCTTCACTGCCCCTCTTACAACTTTGTTTCTGAGGGTGTAGATTAGAGGGTTAAGACTAGGTGTGACAACAGTATAAAAGAGGGCAATGAACTTGCCTTGATCTTGAGAATTTCCTGATGGTGGCTGGAGATATATGCACATGGCCGGAATGAAAAAGAGAGATACAGCCATAAGATGAGCTCCACATGTTCCAAACACTTTCTGAAGCCCAGTGGTTGACTGCATCCTCAGTACAGCTCGGACGATGGCACCATAAGAAGTGAGAATGAGGATGAGAGGTATGAGAACAAATATGGAGCTTGTGATCATGAGGGTCAGCTCATTGACATGGGTATCAACACACGATAATCGCAGAAGTGCTGGAACTTCACAGAAAAAGTGATCTACTTGGCGGTGTCCACACAGAGGTACCCAGAAGGTGAAGGAGGAATGAAGTGCTGAGTTGGTAAAACCACTTACCCAAGAAGCCACAGCCAGCAGGTGGCAGAAACGAGGGTGCATGAGGACAGTGTAATGCAAAGGTCTACACACAGCTGCATAACGGTCATAGGACATCACCACCAGTAGGACACACTCTGTGGTTCCCAGTGCGAGAACAAAGTAAAGTTGAATCATGCAACCAGCATAAGAGATGGTCTTTTCCGGGCCCCAGAGATTGACCAGCAACTGAGGGATAGAGCTGGTGGTGTAGCAGAGATCCAGAAATGAGAGGTTTGAAAGGAAGAAGTACATTGGTGTGTGCAGATGGGAGTCCAGGTATGACAGGATGATGATGAACAGGTTTCCTATCAGTGTCATCAAGTAGAAGATCAAGACAACCACAAAGATAACTACTTCCAGATGAGGCCAATTAGAAAATCCAACTAAAATAAAGTACCCCTCAGAGCTAGCATTGACTTTTCCATCATCATTCATTTCCTATTACCTGAGAGAAAAAAAAGAAAGGTAAACTCAAAAAACGAGTAAACAAATGATCCAAAAATATCAGCACACATGAATAAAAAATAAAAGCCAGTTTGAAGGGCTTGCCATCATTTAATTGTAGGACAATTTAACCATTAGTAGTAATGAATTTAACAAAAGAAGAATTATAAAGCTCATACTGATATAAAAAGTAAAAGAATAAATAAATGAATGGTGAAGATAAAGCTATTCCTTACAGTAGATCCCTAATTAACAAATATAGAAGGGGTGACGGTGTTAAGAAAAACATAAATGATTGCAAAAACTAGTGGATAAAAATTTGATGGGGAACAGAATATGTACAAATATCTAAAATAGTCTAAAATATCTCCTCACAACTTTCTAGTTAATTTCAAACTGAAAAACAGTAAAGTTTGTAGTAGAAAAACCTGTCAGACACCACCATAACCAGTGATTTTATTGATCTTAAGATCAACTGTATTTGCACAAACCAACATCATGAACCTGCTGTGATGATGCTCTGAACAGGACATGCTGTCACTTCAGTGATATTTGTGTTAAAAATTCTAATAATGAAGACTAATTCTAATAATGAAGACACATGAGAAAAACTCAAATTGAGAGAAATAGCTTGCCTATACAATTCAGAAAAGTATCAAGTTTAAGTAGAAAAACAAAGGGTGAGGAACTGGTCCAGATGAAAAGAGACTAGTGAGATGTGATTTCTCAGTGTACAATCCTGGATTTTTTCAAAAACTAGCTATTAACAAAATTATTGAGACAATTTAAGAAATCTCAGTGTGGACTATGGATTAGATAATAATATTGTGCCCATATTAAGTTTGCTGATTTGGGTACTGTGCTGGACTTATGTAAAGTAACATCCTTTTCCTTAGACAAAAAACACTGAATAAAGTATTTGGCATAAAGGAACGTGTCATCTCCAACTTACTCTCAACTAGCCCAGAAAAAGAGATAGATAGGTAGATAGATAGATAGATAGATAGATAGATAGATAGATAAATAGATAGATAGTTGATAGATGATATAACAAAGCTTTGGGGGAAAATGTAAACTAATACTCAATCTGGTAAAAGGGTAAATGTTAGTCTTTTGTACTACTTTTTTGCAACTCTTCTCTAAGTTTGAAATTTTACCATAATAAAAAGTCACAAAAATACAAAATAATTTTTTAATTTTATATTTTATTTAGATGTTTGCCTTATTATAGAAAAATAACTATCAAGTTCTCATTCATTTTAGGGTGACATCTAGGTAAATGGTAATTGAAGGAAATTCCTAACCTAGCTAAGGAAGATAATTTCCATAAAACACAAAATCTTTCTTTGTTAATAAATAAGGAACTTTAGTTTTCTTTTCAGCATTTTCAGGTTATTTTCTTAAATGTGATTGTGGAAAACGTAATCATTGCAATCACAATAATCTTACATATGGATGAAAAGATATGTGGAAAATATTGAATTTAGTCATTTCAAAATGTTCACCTAAAGAAAAAATGTTTAGCTTCAATTAGATAAGAATCTTATCTTGTGATTTGTTTACTTGGACTCAAAATGTATTTCTAAACTGAAAAATTGAATACAAGTAGAGAAGACACAGACACTTGCTCATCAATATATGGGTATTCATGATACGAACTAAGCTAAAAATCTGGGGAGAACAGTGATAGAATGCTTTCTAAAGGATGTGTGACTACAACTGAATTTGAAAAGATTCAAACTTTACAGAAAGGAAAGGAAGATAAAAATTCAGTGAGAGAACAGAGAAGGAAGGAAAAGTGGGAGGGGCAGGAAAATGGAGGAGAACCTGAGTGTAGTTCTTAGAGTTGCAGGTGTGTCTATCACAGGGTTCAAGAAGCTGAACCACAGGGCCTGAAGAAGGTTTCTACATGATGTATTTTTCTCCAGGACAATAATTTAGATAGTATATAAATTCTGAGCATGAGCTATAATTAGTACATATTTATTCTCCAAGTTAGAGAGTTCTGAATATTTAATGAATCATTAAGTGGCTGTTCATCATTTAATACATTGTGCCCAGTGAATCTCATGTTACTTTTTTTGTTAAAAATAAAATATATCTTACAAATAGTTATGACTCCTAGGTGATGCTTTTTCTCCAGTGAGTTTTCAATCTTTCATAGAAAAAAATGATACTTATTTTTGTTATATAGTTATTGTGTCAGGCATAGCAACCCACCATTTAAATACCCCATTTTCTCTGAATTCTTTGCCTCTTCCAGCTTTGCCACATGCCCTCTATTTCATTCCTTCCACAGTCGGTTATTTTTCTTATACCTCCCAATTGGCTATGGCACAGGAAGAAAGAAATCATTGTGGGGCCACCTGTGATTGCCTCTTTTAGGGGTCTCTTAATCGCTCATGTTTTATAAATTCAATGCCTGAAAGAAATGTCAGGAGTAGCTAATTGGTTGAGTTTCAGCAGAAAAGTTTGGAACATTCAGTTTGGTCCCAAGATTAAAAGATTGACCTCAGACCTTTTAACAGACTTGGTAATGTAAATAATCATTAGCCAGTTGTTACACTAATCTAGATTACTTTCAACAACTTAAACAACCATCCAGGAAAATCAGTCTGCACATTGTTTTAAAAGAAAATTTTAAAAGCTATAGCTGAATCAAAAAGCAGCAATAGTCAAAGAGTAAATCATGAAGATTACTTGACTTAGAGGTCACAGCCCTTGAGGGAAGATGAAAATTTTCCAAGAGATTTTTAAAAATTTCTCTAGAATAGGAGATAATACATCATGAGAAATATGAACACAAATGTTATAGTTACCTTCTCTCATGCAGATAAAATTTTCTTCTTTCTTGTACAGTTGCCTCGATAATTTATTACATTAACTAAAACAACATTTAGCTGTGAGATACCTTTGCCAATTGCATGACCCATCTTTGAGCAATCTTACATAGAGAGGTTAGAATGAGATATGAGATAAGAAGCAAACAAACAAAAACTTACCAGATGCAAGCAAGGAAAAGGTAGGAATTTTTCTGGGTTAATTTTCTTCTTCCTGGTGGAGCAGAAAATAAAAGCCTTATCAAAAGTTAAAAGCCTTATCAAAAGCCATATCAAAAGTTTAAGTTATCCTTAACACAAAGAAAGGATAAATGCTTGAGGTGATGGATACCCCATTTAGCCTGCTGTGATTATTACACATTGTATGCCTGTATCAAAAATACCTGGGTCGGGTGCCGTGGCTCACACCTGTAATCCTGACACTTTGGGAGGCCAAGGTGGGCGGATCTCTGGAGCCCAGAAGTTCGAGACTAGCCTGGGCAATGAAGTGAGACCATGTCTCTACAAAAAATAAAAAGAAAGAAATTATCAAAAAAAATCTCATGTACCCCATAAATGCATACACCTATTGTGTACCCACAAAAATTAAAAGTTAAAAGTTGCTTTCATGGACTAGGAATAAGTGATCCTCTCTAGTTTTGGAAATCAGGTATAACGGAGGGAGAAAATAATCTCTTTTCCCCATCCCCATGTCACTGGCCAAGTTTTTTTATTCTTACCATAATATTTCTTTATATATTACCTAGTACTTAAGCAGTACTCAAACAATGCCTTTCACTCTGTCCTTCCTGTATCTGTCCACATTCCCTGTATATTGTCTTCCTAGCTGATGCCCTCATCATGCACAGACTGATCTGATCTCTGATTTTGATCACCTTGAAATCACCAACATAAATGCCTACACTTCCCTCATCTACTACATCAATTAGGAAAACAGTCTGAATGTAGCTATGACTATCATTGCTACAGAAGAGAAAGCTCTGAGTCTACTAAAAAAATTTAGTTTTACCCAAAAGATAAACTTATTAGAGCTTTCAGTGTATCAAGGGATGGGTCTTTATCTTAGAGTCAATGGGCCCTTTTTGGAAACAAAAGAATGTGACTTGCTTTCCTTGACTTGGGCCACTGGGAGGGTAAATCCCAAAGTAGCAATTAATGCCCTTCAAGGAGTTATCCTGGTTAGAACAGTTTCTCAGTGATGTTCTTGGCATGATGCCACATTGTTGTACGAGGATGACAAGGAATCTATAGTCCAGCCATAGCAGAGAAAAATACTTTGAGCTGTATCTGCAGGGAAGGGAATGGGTTATCTTGAGTTACCTGAAACCTCTTCCCCAATTCTTCAGTATGCTAGAGGCCAAATTTGAGATATAGCTTGTTAGGTAGTCTAATTTGGGAATGGGAAAAGGCATGAAACATTTTTTAAAAGGAAATATAATGACTACATTATACATATTTGTTTTATTAATTTGAATTTTTAATTGTGTCTAACATCTCTAAAATTCAAGGCCAAGTTCAGCCCTGCAAAAGTGTTAAAAATTACCTTTGAAGACCATTCAAACTATACTCAGAAGGTCACTACCAAACTCAGAAAACTTTTAACAAAATTATTTAATATTTCCAAAATATTGTTATCAATAATTTCTTTTGATGTCTTGTTAAAAGCTTTGCAGAAATATATAAAAAAGCTAAATTAGCTGTGATAGCTAGCCTACATCCCATGTTTAAAAAAAAAAGCACATCGTGAGTTTATAAACTAATGAAGATTTTTCAATTGTTACATTGTGTCTAGGTGATATATTCCATGTGTACCAGACAAAGTCTTGGTATGAAAATCAAGTCACATTTACAATACAATTATATTTTAAAGTCAGTACTTTTAAGAGCATGATCAGGTATTTTCCTGTCCACTTATGTGAAGCAACTGAAAACAGTCTTGGCTTCAGTAGTCTTGATTGTTGTGAAAACTCCATGTGAAAAATACGTAAACATTATCCTCGATGCCTAGTGCATAATCATTCAATACATGTTAGCTGCTATTACCATTATAGTGAATTTTAATTTGAAGTGATATTTTAACAAGTCATTCTATATTATTTCTTCATCCTTTATTTTAGATATTTAAAATATTAAAAATAAACCCTTATGTTCCCATCATTCAGAATCATCAACCATAACTTTTGTCATTTTTATTTTCAGAATTTTTAGCACATAAAGTATCACAGATAAAGTTCATATCCCCTTCAACTGTCACTCTCTGACCCAACACTAAATCCAGAGACAACTACCATGAGCTTGGTATATATCATTCCAGTTTACTTTAAAATATATTAAATATTATTTTTAAGATAAATATGATTAAATAGTCATATAATCATATGTCTAAACTTCTCTATCTTATTGGAGAGGAATTTGACCAGTGATCCTACAACCTGTGGGGACTAGCAGAATTCAATCAGTTATCAAAATCCAGGAAATGTCTGATATCCTGGTCTGTAGGAGATTGTACCAAGCTCCAATATTTTTCATGTTTTGGTAACTAGAATTGTAGGAGAGTTTTTGGCCCCTGCCAATCTACTGGGTGCCAGCAAATGTTAACATTTTTAGGTGTGATGTTAGTAACTTGTGAAAATACAGCTGGCATAACATGATTTAATTACAGCAAAGTATTTCTAAGGAAGCAACCCTCAACTTTTTTCTCTACAATACACACTCAGATAAATAAAACACATTGAAAGTCACATCTGAGGAATCAAAAGGAATAAAAGACACTAAATGATCTCTGTTGAGCTTCTGTTAATTTGAGTGCTTTGTATGGGAGGAATGTGAATTAGAGTAGATCACAAACTATTAAAGCATTGTAGATGGGAAGCTCAGTTGGAGTTAAGGCCTAGAAAATTCACATATACAACATGGAGTACTATGCAGCCATCGAAAAGGATGTGTTCATGTCCTTTGCAGGGACATGGATGAAGCTGGAAGCCATCATTCTCAGCAAACTATCACAAGAACAGAAAACCAAACACCACATGTTCTCACGCATAGGTGGGCATTGAACAATGAGAACAGTTGGACCTGGGGGGAAACATCATACACCAGGGCCTGTGGGGGCGGTGGGGGGGATGCGGGAGGGATAGCATTAGGAGAAATACCTAATGTAAATGATTAATTGATGGATGCAGCAAACCAACATGGCACATGTATACCTACGTAACAAACCTGCACGTTGTTCACATGTACCCTAGAACTTAAATAATAATAAAATAAAATAAAACAGACGATGGAAAAAAATCAGTCATATTTCTATACAATTTATAGTGGTATCTAAAAACATGAAATACATAGAGGTGACTTTAACAAAATATGGACAATAGCTATACAATGAAAACCTCAAATGCTTCTGAAAGAAAATAAGATGTAAGTAAATGGAGATCTATATCATGTCCCCAGATCAGAAAAGTCAATGTTGTCAAGTTGCCAGTTCTTCTCCAATTGGTCTATAAATTCAATGCAATCCCCAATCAAAATGCCACCAGGCTTTTTCTGTGGAAATGACACACTGTATTTTATTAAAGTTAAAATTTTTCTCTTTGAAAGATATGACAGTATTCTATTTGCAAAAGATTTGTTTGACCAAGGACTTGAGTTCAGAGTATACAAAGAACTTCAAATTCAACAATAAGAAGACAAATGACCCAATTTTTAAAGTGAGTAAAATATCTGAACAGAAGCTACACAAAATAACATATATGAAGCATATGAAAAGCACACAAGAGGATGGTCAATGTCAACACCCCTCAATGCAAATTATAGCCACAGGTAACCTAACTTGAGAGGTGAAAAGTATAAAAACTGACAATACCAAGTATTAGAAAGAATGTGAGTTCATTTGGAACTCTCATACACTGCTGTTTGAAGTGAAAATAGAACAGCCACTTGAAAACATTTTTGCAGTATCTCATAAAGATAATATACACTAAGCATGTGGTCCTCCTGGAGAGGTACAAATAAAAGGTATTTACCCAAATTAAGTGAAAACATGCATCCACACAAACACTTGTATACAAATTTTCATAGCAGCATTATTCATAATAGCCAAAAATTTTAAATACTCCCAAAGCCCTTCACAGATAAATGGATAAATTGTCGCACATTCGTACAATGGAGTTCTAACAAGCAATAAAAAGGAAAAAGTAACTGATACATGTGGCAACATAATAAATGTCAAAAACATCATGCTAAATGAAACAAGCCACACCCAAAGATTACACACTGCATGATTGCAATTATTTGAAATTCTAAAAGTGGGAAAAACCAAGTACATTTAGAGAAAATTAATGCTGCCTCAGGCTATGACTAAAAGGGGAAAGTTGACTACAAAACGGAAGTTCTTTGGGGAGTAATAGAAATGTCCTATAATCTTGATTGTGGTGGCATTTACACAATTATACATTTGTCAAACTCACTGAACTATTCTTTCAATTTGATATTGAGAAACCTGTCTTTGAGACTCAAATTTGCCATTTGTTAGTGCGTGCATTTAGACAAGACTACTTAATCTCTCTGAGACTCAATTTCCTAATCTTTAACATAGGAACAATAATGTTTATATCTTATTTTTCTTTTGTTTCAAGAGGCTAATAGTCAACAAAGCTTTAGGGTTTCTATGATGACCAAAATTCTAATGAAACAAAATATATTAATGTGCTTTATAAGTTGTGTAGTACTGTTACAGTATAAAGGATTATAATTATACACTTTTTCCGATAGCTTATTAAATCCAATATTTGATGTCTAACAAAAATACAATAAAAAGAAAATATAAAAAAATTCATTGAACTATATACTTAAAATGTGTAGATTTCTTTGTACATAAATTATACTTCAATAAATTTGAAAAGAAAAGAGTCTTGTAGATCTTGAGAAGCTGGAGTGACACATGACATATTACAAATGGTAAGATTTCCACGGAGGCAGGAGGAATCTATGTTCTCATATTTTGTGAAGTCTGTGTGAGATGTGATGTGATCCCAATAATCCCACTGGGTACTTATCCAAGAAAAATGAAGTAAGTATTCCGAAGAGGTATCTATGCCCCCATGTTCATTGCAGCACTATTCATGACAGCCAAGATGAAGAAACAACCTAAGCATCCATTGATGGAGGAATGGATAAAGAAAATGTGATCTCATACACACACACACACACACACACAGCGAGAAATATTATTCAGCCAATAAAAAGAAAATCCTGCCATTTGTTATAACATGGATGAACTGGAGGATATTGTGCTAAGTGAAATAAACCACACACAGAAAGACAAAAGATGTATGATAACACTTACATGTGGAATCTAAAAAAATTGAACTCGGATAGGAACAGTGGCTCACGCCTGTCATCCCAGCACTTTGGGAGGCCAAGGCAGGTGGATCATTTCAGGTCAGGGGTTCAAGACCAGCCTGGCCAACATGGTGAGAACTAGTTTCTACTAAAATACAAAAATTAGCTGGGCGTGGTGGCGGGTGCCTGTAGTCCCAGCTACTGGGGAGGCTGAGGCAGGAGAGTTGCTTGAAGCCGGGAGGCAGAGGTTGCAGTGAGCCAAGATCGCACCACTGCACTCCAGCCTGTGTGACAGAGTGAGACCGTGTATCAAAAAAATAAAAAAACTGAACCCATAGAAGCAGAGAATAGAATGGTGGTTGCCATGGGCTGGAGGGTGGGAAGTGGAGAGACAGCCAAATTGTACAAACTTTCTGTCATAAGATGAATACATTCTGGAGATCTAATGTAGATTATGGTGACTATAGTTAATAATACTGTACTGTATACTTGAAATTTGCTTAGAGATTAGATCTTAAGTGTCCTGACCCTCCCCGCTCCCCCTACACACAGTAACGATGTGAGATGATGGATGTGTTAATTTGACTGTGGTAATAATTTCACAATTTGGTTTGATTTATATATAATCACATTGTGCACATTAAATATATGTTATTTTATTTGTGCCTCAGTAAAGCTGGAAAAAATAAAATCAAAATAAAGAAATTTTTTTAATAATGCTATTCAGCAAAGAACAAGGATGTTAAGAGTTTTAAGCTATCTTTAATATGTCATTAACTAGGCCAACTAAAGCAAATTAAGCACATATTCTGCTTTGTTTCATTTAATAGCACTGTCTTCCTACAGGAGCTATGAATTTATTATCAGAGTTTATTATCAAACTTATTGTTTTGCTTTCGATTTTTAAAAAGTGAAAGATGTATACAATCTGAAGAGTAATCAGAGTATATTGTTTCTGATTTTTAAAAGCTATCTTAATTTATTAGCATTAACCCCAGTGACAAATTAAGCCATGTACAGATACTTCATCTTTTATCTTATGTTGCCATTTTTCCCGATAGAGAGTGCATTCTGTTCAGACAAAGTATGTTATATTTATACATGTTACCAAGAATTTCACAAACTGGGAGAGAGTACATGTCCAGTAAGATTTAGCTAATGAAGAATAAGTTAATGAATAAATGGACAGATGAACGAATCAGCCATTTTAAAGAGATATTAGTTTACTGTTCAATGTGACAAGAATGCAGACCTACAGGATAAATTATATAATTTAGTGTCTTTAAAAAGTGAACTTCAACCAAAAAATTATGACATATCCTTTACCATATAATAAATGGTGTTATTCATTATGTTTACTATTTTTCTTTGCTGTGACTATTTTTAGCTTCATTTAAGGTTTATTTAATAACCAAAAACTTCTTCAGCCTACATCTTTGCAATATTGCCCTTCTCTTCCTATACATATCAATGGTCAGTTCATAATTTAGCACATTGTCAGAAATATTGCCAATATTTTTTAAATAATCTCCTCATAATTATTCACACACACATTTATTTATGTTGAAACCACAGTCCACAATTTTCATGGAAATAAATATAGAATTGTAAAAGAACAAAATGGTACTAATCAAAACCTTTATCTCAACATAATATTTCAGAACTAAATATTAAACAGAGCAACAAATGGGGGAACTGAACTATTCCATGTTTTGTGAGCTGTTAGATGAAACACAAATCACAAAGAAGCAGGGAAACAACCTTTCAAAATGGATAAGACCCTAGGAAAAACAACAGCCAACATGATTTCCCTGTCACATCCCCCATTCCCACCCCATTAGTCTCTTCACTGCCCCTCTTACATCCTTGTTTCTGAAAGTGTAGATTAGAGGGTTAAGACTAGGTGTGACAACAGTGTAAAAGAGGGCAATGAACTTGCCTTGATCTTGAGAATTTTCTGATGGTGGCTGGAGATACATGCACATGACTGGAATGAAAAAGAGAGATACAACCATAAGATGGGCTCCACATGTCCTAAGCACTTTCTGAAGCCCAGTGGTTGATTGCATGCTCAGTACAGCCCGGGCAATGGCACCATAGGAAGTGAGGATGAGGATGAGAGGTATGAGAACAAAAATGGAGCTCATGACCATGAGGGTCAGCTCATTTGCCTAGGTATCAACACATGATAATCGCAGAAGTGCTGGAGCTTCACAGAAGAAGTGATCCACTAGGCGATGTCTACATAGGGGTATCCAGAAAGTAAAGGAGGAATGAAGTGCTGAGGTTGTAAAACCACTTACCCAAGAAGCCGCAGCCAACAAGCGGCAGAAACGAGGGTGCATGAGGACAGTGTAATGCAAAGGTCTACACACAGCTGCATAACGATCATAGGACATCACCACCAGTAGGACACACTCTGCGGTTCCCAGTGCGAGAACAAAGTAAAGTTGAACTGTACAACCAGCATAAGAGATGGTCTTTTCCGGGCCCCAGAGATTCACCAGCAACTGAGGGATAGAGCTGGTGGTGTAGCAGAGATCCAGAAATGAGAGATTTGAAAGGAAGAAGTACATGGGAGTGTGGAGATGGGAGTCCAGGTATGACAGGATGATGATGAACAGGTTTCCTATCAGTGTTATCAAGTAGAAGATCAAGATAACCACAAAGAGAACTACTTCCAGATGAGGCCAGTTAGAAAATCCAAGTAGAATAAAGAAGTCTTCAAAACTTGCATTTTTTTTCATCAACATTCTTATTTTTCCTGTACCTAAAGAAAGAATCGCATAAACTCAAAGTCTGTCCATGCATTGCCAACTGCTCACTTGCAAACAGATTGGAGAAAAAAGTATCCCAATTCCAGATAGTGTGCACCATTATGGCAGTAGAATTTTTATACAGTTTCCTTTGTATGCTTCATTGAGATATTTGTCCAGCTGTGGATACAAGTAATAGCTTTTCAAGTTACTGAGTTCTTTTATATACATCCTTGAGTTAACATTTGGATAAATGAAGACTAAGATATTCCATAATCAGAAAGACAATATTTAAGAAAATAATTTTTTATTTTAAAAAGTTAAATTGATTTTTTTTTGCATTTTCAGACTATTTCCAATTTTGCAGTTACAGAGAAAGGAATAACTGCAGCCATAATAATCTTACTTATAGATAGGAACTTCCCATGTTAAAGAGCAATTAGGTAGTCACTTTAAAATATTAATATGAACTGAAAAGAAATAATTGGATATGATTATAGAAAGAATTAAATGATATTCATTTATTTATGCTAGCAGTTTATTTCTAGACGAATAAAATAACATGCAAATGAAGGTTTAAACAGACATGCACACACACACCAACTTATAAAAATTCACAATATAAGCAAAGCTGATTAATAAAGTGAAATAGAGTAGAGATATCAGTGATAGAGTGCTTCCAAAGTTACATGGGGGTATAATTATTATTGGAAGACAGAAAGATTACAGAGTCTAACAAAAACACCGGGAGGTGTAAGAGAGAAAGGAAGAGTGCTTTGAGGCACAACAGTGAAGAGGAGGTCAGAATGTGGCATTTGAAATTGAAAGAATGTATAACACAGGATTGTTAGACAGGGACAAGAAGACTTAAATGTGGTTTCTAAAAAATTTTATATGCTTTAGGCCAATAACTGAACTATACTTTAAATTCTGAGTCACAACTTATAATTTGTATTTCTGGGTTTTCTTCAATATTCCTAAATAGCATTGCCATCCCCCTTCTGCTCCCCTCCTGCCACAGCCAACTCTTCCTCTCATACTCTCTGATAAAATATGACAAAAGACAAATTTATTTACACCCAACTCACCTTCAGTGTTTTGAAAAACTTTTAACAACTCAAATATTCTAATCTTGACTCTTGAAAAAGATGTAAGGGTTTGCCTAATTAGTTGAGTTACAGCTGGAGAGCTAGGAACGTTGAACTTGGGCCAAGTCTGTGCAGATGCTCCAGACAGGTACAAAGATATCTGTACACTTTTCCATATTGTTGATAATGAAATGATCATTACCTTTTGAGAAATCATGGAAAAATTGCAAGAATTTTTTTAAAAATTTCGCTAGGTTGAAAGGTAATATTCTGTAAGATACTTGAACTCAAATGTTGTGGATACTTTTGCTAATGCAGGTATAATTTTCTTTCCTAATGCAGCTGCCTGACTTCCTTACTACAGTAATTAAAAGGTGAAATCTGATATTTTTCTGTTGTATAAACCATCTTTCAGCATTCTTCCAGAGTCGATAAAAAGGATAGGAAATAAGGGACAAAAAAAAAAAAAAACCCAGAACTCACGTAGAGAAAAGTTTGCAGCTTCGATTTTCTTCTTGGAGGAAAAGAGGGAAATGAAGACCCTATCAAATGTAGCTTTTATGAACTATGGAATAAAATATCTTCTCTCTTCTTTTAAATCAAACACTGTAGGGAAAATGGATGGCTGAGTGTCTCTTCTTTCCCCAATTATTACTAAGAGACATTTTCCCAATTCGTGTCATATTCATTCCTTTATACTATATCTGGTTTGTTTTCTTACTTTTTCATTGACTAGTAATAATTGTATATATGTATGGAGTACATTGTAATGTTTTGATATGTATATACATCATAGAATGATTATATTAAGCTAGTTAATGTACCTATCACCTCACACACATCATTTTTTTGTAGTAAGAACATTTAAAATCTACACTTCCTGCAATTTTGAAATACAGAAGCTGTACACCCCTTAAGAAGTGCGCCAACTTCTTTCAGTACTGACCTTCCTGTGTTTGTCCCTGTTCCCTGTCACTCTCTACCTGGCCTACGACCTCATCATGTATAAACTGATGAAGGGGCTCTCTGGTTGCCATGCAACCTAGAAACATCAACCTAATTGCCTTCTTATAACATTTTTGCCAATGTTTTAAATCTAACTATGGAGAACAGAGTCTGGAAATAACTGTGATTGTCATTGCTACAGAAAAGAGAGCCTGAGTTTGTCCAAAAGATCTGCTTTTTAGCAGAATGTGGGAATACTTTAGAGCATTCAAGGTATCAGGGGATGGACCCTTTATCCCAGAGTAAATGGAATCTTTATGGAACCAAAAAGAATAATGGGATACTCTTTCATTGACTGGGGCCTTTGGGAGTATAAATCCCAAAGTTGCAATTAATGCCCTTCAAGTTGTCCTGGTGTGGTGTTCTCAGTACAAAACTCTTCACAGAAATATCTTCAGTATGATGTTATAGTCTTACTGTGATGACAGTGAATTTATCACTTACAAATATGGGAAAAGATGCTGTGAGTTATATTTACAATAAAGGGAATGGGTTTTACTGAGCCATGTGATTTTTTTTCAGTTTTCCATGGGGCTAAGGGTAAAATTTACAAGACAACTGGAAAAAAGGAGTGATTTCAGAGCCATTCAACTGAAAAACTAGAATACATAAAGACTAAACTGTATATCTATTCCTTACTAATGACGTGCTCTTTGAGACTGACCTATATTATTTATGCCATCCCAGTTGTCTTTTAAATTCAATTCCAAGATTTTTCCTGCAAAAGGTTAAAAAATATCTTGTGTTTAAAATCTCCCCTTTCCCCATCCCCTACCCCCAAGGTAGCTATATTCTACTCTCCACTTGCATGAGTTTATCTTTTTTAGATTCCACATATGAGTGAGATCACGTGGTATTTGTCTTTCTGTGTCTGGCTTCTTTCACTTTGCATAATGTCCTGCAGGTTCATGAATGTTGTTGAAAAGACAGAATTTCCTTTTTTCTTTAAGGCTGGATAGTATTCCATTTTATATAGATAATGTGGCTCATATATATCACATTATATCCCTTTTATATATTTATCTGTTTATCCATTGATGGGCATTTAAGTTCCTTCCATATCTCAGCTATTGTGAATAATGCTACAATGAACATGGTAGTGCAAATATCTGTAGTGAATTCTTATGATTTTATGTTGCCTCAGTGTTTATTTTCAATATAAGTTGAACTTTCTCATACCAGAAGCAGGGCTTAGTCACCCTTAACACAATTTCGAGTTCTCCTCTCCCAGTTTCTTCAGGTGGTCAATCCAGATATTTGGCCTCTTGGTTTCCACCTTCCTGTGGAGCACCTAGATACAACCTGTTTGACTTATCCCACTGATCCCCACACCCCACATGGACTGCAGACTTGCAGTAGTGAACACCTCTCAATACAACATAACTCCCAAGAACTCATGCCTGCTTGCTTTAAACCCAGCAATCAGTTACTCCCTGCTTAGGAAATGCTGTGTACCCCAGTAAAGGCTTCGGCCTTCTCGGCTGTCACTCACTCTCCCTTGCTACCCACCCACTGGTTGAGCATGCATGTCTCTGAGGGCTGCCCCTTCTCCCGTTAGGCCTGTGAGGAAAGTTTCCTTCTTCTCTCTGGATCTTTAAGTAATAAAACTACTTCTATTACGTGTTTTTTTTTACTTGCGTCTCGCGTGACTGACATACGTGAAATTAACTTCTTTTCTGGACAAGGCTCTCTTAAAGAGTGGTTATCTTGGTAGGAATGAACTGGACACACTAGTCAGACAAGAGCCACAAGGGTGTCTGCCAGTGAAAATGAGTTTCCAGTGAGAGGGACACCTGGTCATAAATAGGACAATTAGGCATTAGCTCTCCATCAGGATATAGAAGTATTCCACGAAAAAAACACTGAAAACATCCACAACCACAACCACCTCCACTGGAGCCCATCAGAGCAGGGCTAGAGTTTCTGGCTCCTCTTCAAAGAGAGACGTTAAGACCAAATTAGAGGAAAATCTACCAATATATTTTTAACATATTAATTTCAATCTCTTTGGCTATGTACTCAGAAATATAGTTGCTGGATCATATGGTAATTCTATCTTTTTTTGAGGAACCTCCATGCTGATTTCAATAATGGCTGTATTAATTTACATTACTACCATTAGTATATAAGGATTCCCTTCTCCACATCCTTGCTAATACTTATTAACTCTTATTTTATTGATATAGCCATTCTAACAGGTATGAGGTGATATCTTATTGTGGTTTTAATTTGTATTTCCTTGATGTTGAGAAATTTTGTTATGTATCTGTTAGTCTTTTATGTCATCTTTTGAAAGATGTCCATTAAGTGTTTTGCTCAGTTTTAAAAGGGGTTCTTTGTTTTCTTGCTAACAAATTTAAGTTGTTTGCATTTCTTACATATTTTGGATATTAGCCATGTATGGTTTGTAAATATTTTCTCCCAGTCCATGGGTTGTCTCTTCAATCCGTTATTTACTTTGTTATACAGAAGGTTTTTGGTTTGAGGTAATCCCATTTGTCTATTTCTGCTTTGGTTTCCTGTGCTATTGAGATCATCACCAATAAATTATTGCCAAGATTAATTTCAAGAACATTTTTCCCTATGTTTTCTTCTAGTAATTTTACATTTTCTGGTCACACATTTAAATCTTTAAACCATTTTTAGAGGATTTTTGCATATGGTGTGAAATAAGGTTTCAATTTCATTGTTCTGTATTTGGGTATTTGATTTTCCCAGCATCATTTATTAAAGATACTGCCCTTTCTCCATAGTGTGTTCATTCTTGGCATCTTTGGCAAAAATCAGTTAACCACAAATGCATGAGTTTATCTCTGGGCTCTCTATCACATTACATTGGTCCGTGTGTCTGTTGTTATGCCACTACCTTTCTGTTTTGAATACTATAACTGTGTAATATATTTTGAAACAGGTAGTGTGATGCCTCCAGCTTTGCTCTTTTTGCTCAAAAGTGCTTCAGCTACTTAGGGGTTTTTGTCATTCCATATGAATTTTTAAATTGCTTTTTCTATTTCTGTGAAACAAAAAAGTCATTGAACTTTTATAGAAATTGCACTGAATCTGTGTATCACTTTAGGTAGTACACATATTTTAATAATATTAATTCTTCCAAACCATGAATGCAAAATCCATCATATTCTGGGTTTTTGTTTGGTAGAAGACTTTTATTACTGATTCAACCTCCTTACTCATTATTAGTCTGTTCAGATTTTCTGTTTTTTTCATGATTCATTTTTGTTATGTTTCTAGAAATTTAACCATTTCTTCTAGGTTACCCTATTCGTTGGTGTAAAATTGTTCATAGTATTCTTTTATGAGCTTTTGTACTTCTGTAGTATCAATTGTAATGTCTCCTCTTTCATTTTTGACTTTATTAGAGTCTTCTTTTCTTCTTAGTTGGTCTACTCAAGTTTTGCCAATTGTTTTTATCTTTTCAAAAATTCAAGTCTTAGTTTTGTGAATGCATTCTATTGTTTTCTAGCTTCTTATTTATTTCTGCTCTGATCTTTGTTATTTCCTTCCTTCTGCTAACTTTGGGATTAGTTTGCTCTTCTCTTTTTCTGGTTTCTTGAAATGTAACATTAGGTTGTTTGGGATCTTTCTTCTTTTTTAATATAGGCATTTATTACTACAAACATTCCTCTTGCTAATATCTTCTTTTGCTACATGCCATAAGTTGTGGTATGTTGTGTTTTCATTTTCATCTGTCTTAAGATTTTTTTTAATTTTGCTTTTGATTTTTTATTTAACCCATTGTTTATTCAGGAGCATGTTGTTTAATTTCCACGTTTGTAAATATTTTAAATTTTCTCCTATTATTCACTTCTACTTTCATAACTTTGTGGTCAGAAAAGATACTTGATATGATTTCGATCTTCTTAAAACTGTGGAGACTTATTTTGTTCCCTAATATTTGATCCTGGATAATGTCCCATTTGCACTTGAGAAGAATGAGTATTCTGTTGCTGTTGGATGGAATGTTCTATATATGTCTGTTAGGTCCATTTGATCTAATGTGCGTTTCAAGTCCAGTGTTTCCTTATTGATTTCTGTCTAGATGACATGTTCATTGTTGAAAGTGAAGTGTTGAAAAACCCTGCTATTACTGTATTGCAGTCTGTTTCTTTTTAGGTCTATTAATACTTTCTTTATACATTTAGATGATCTAGTATTAGGTGTATATATATTTACAATTGTTACGTCCTTTTGATGAATTGACCCTTTTATCATGTAATGACTTTCTCTGTCTCTTTTTACAGTTTTGGACTTAAAGTCTGTCTAATATAAGTAGAGCTACCCCTGCTGTCTTTTGGTTTCTACTTGCATGAAATATTTTTTTCAGTCAATGTGTGTTCTTTAAGTTAAAGTTAGCCTCTTACAGGCAGCCTATGTTTGAGTATTGTTTTTCAGTTTTTTCCCAAAGCAAATCATTTTAGTAGGTTGTCAAATATACAATTATTGGAAATATCTAAATATTACCTGTAAAAATCAGCATATCACATTAGATAATTCTATAAAGTAAGAAAACACAAATCACACATTGCCAATAACCGCTGCAGTCCAAGAATATCCTCCTGTCAATAGTACAAATTACAAACACATTTTTAAAACTAAAGATGTTATTTAGACATTTAAACCAAAGTAACCATGACTAGCCTAAATACATTCATTCATCAAGTACAATAAATTTAGCATTGCTACTTACAGTCACTAATAACACAATTTTAGGTGCAATTTTACCTAAAATTTCATAAATTTTCCAATACAGTTCCAATAGTAAAGTGTCTTTGTGCATGCCATTTCCATTTATATGTGGGTGCATCATATATCAGACTTAAGGCTATTTCACCTCATTATTAAATTGTTCATAAATATATAAAGAAAGTGAACACCAGGCCAAAATTTAATCCCAATGATAAAAAAATATATATATATATATAATATATATAAAATATATATATTATTAAAAAGTCAGGAAACAACTGTGAGCCAAAATAAACCTTTTTTCTTTGTAAATTACCCAGTCTTAGGTATTCCTTTATAGCAATGCAAATGGATGAATGCAGAAACAAAGGATCGGTCTGCATTTCTTAACTTCAGAAACTACAGTCTTTGTAGTTTCCTTTGTAGTACCTTTGTAAAGACGAAGATCTTTAAATAGTTTAGTGCTTAGTGTCCTTGTTAAAGTATAACGTTATATAATGAACACCGGCTGATAAATTATTGATGCATTAACTGGCAACATTTCAAAAAAAATTCAAACTCGAAATCTCAGTTTAGAATCTTCCAAGTGAATGAGAACCCCTAACTCTGTTCAGGTCAAATGTTGCCCCCTCACAGAAACTGACTGACCATGCTGTCTAAAGTAACAGCCTCAGCTAATTTTGATTCTCTTACCCTGCTTTCTTTTTCTTCATAGCATTTATCACTATCTGACATTGTATTATATATCTATTTACTTATTATTAGTTTTCTATCTCCTTACTAGTATGTAAGCTTCATTAGAACAGAGACTTTATTTCTTTTGATTATCAATATATCTCCTGTGCACATGACAGTGCCTGACACTTATCACCATGACATAAAGATTTATTGAGTAAATGATTAAATGGTTTGTTTCCATGTTCATGTTCCAACCAGACACATAGGCAGGTATTGTGGCTTATCTCTGAAGTCCTTGGCACTGGCTGGCTGGCATAGAACCTTGCAAACAATGAATAAATAAATTACCCTGATCGATCAGTGTGCCTGGATAGAGAAGACATGTAGCAATGCTGCACCCCTGGATGTGCTATTAATACAATTATACAGCATGGAATACTATGTAGCCATAAAAAAGAATGAGTTCACGTCCTTTGCAGGGATACGGATGAAGCTGGAAGCCATCATTCTCAGCAAACTAACACAGGAACAGAAAACCAAACACCTCATGTTCTCACTCATAAGTGAGAGTTGAACAATGAGCACACATGGACACAGGGAGGGGAACTTTACACACCGGGGCCTGTCAGGGGGTGGGGGGCAAGGGGAGGGAGAGCATTAGGACAAATACCTAATGCATGCAGGGCTTAAAGATGACAGGTTGATAGGTGCAGCAAACCATTATGGCACATGTATACCTATGTAACAAACCTGCACGTTCTACACATATATCCCAGAACTTAAAGTAAAATAAAAATAATAATAATTTATAAAATACACTTAAAATTTTTTTTTAACCAAGATTGTTCTCTTGAGGTTAACTTATTACTACTTTGAGTTGCCAGGAGTGATTGCACATTTCTTGGGAATCCCTAAGTCACCAAGAATAAAGACCACTTGTAATAACTAAGGCATATTCAACAATAAAATTCTAGAGATTCGGGATATTTGATATTTGCTTGTAACATTTCACTTTTTAGCTTTTATTCATTTAATAAATGTTTTCTTTATCATCTTGTATACTCATGAACAGTTTTAAGTGTCCATTCAAATCATTTCATTGGGAAAAAAAAAGTCAGGAAACAACAGATGTTGGCAATGCTGGGGAGAAATAGGAACACTTTTACACTGTTAGTGGAAATGTAAATTAGTTCAGCCATTGTGGAAGACAGTGTGGCGATTTCTCAAAGATCTAGAGCCAGAAATACTATTTAACCCAGCAATCACATTACTGGGTATATACTCAAAGGATTATAAATAATTCTACTATAAAGACACATGCACACATATGTTTATTGCAGCACCATTTACAACAGCTAAGACTTGGAACCAACCCAAATGCCCATCAGTGACAGACTGGATAAAGAAAATGTGGTACATATACACCATGTAGCCATAGAAAAGAATGAGTTCATGTCCTTTGCCGGGACATGGATGAAGCTGGAAACCATCATTCTCAGCAAACTAACACGGGAACAGAAATCCAAACACCACACGTTCTCACTCATAAGTGGGAGTTGAAAATAAGAACACGTGGACACAGGAAGGGGAACATCACACACTGGGGCCTGTTGAAGGGTGGCGGCACAGGGAGGAGAGCGTTAGGACAAATACCTAATGCATGAGGGGCTTAAAACCTAAATGACAGGTTGATAGGTGCAGCAAACCACCATGGCACATATATACCTATGTAACAATACTGCATGTTCTGCACATGTATCCCAGAACTTAAGGTAAAATTTTTTTAAAAAAGTAAAACCACAAAAAATAAAATAACTTTTCTATTATAATCCAAGCACAACAAATTGTATTTGAAAACTAATTACAAATATATATTACATATAGAAAGTATGTATATATGTCTATTAAACTTATATATAAATTATTAGCTACAACAGATGTCATATAGTTACAAAAATCACAGGCTAAGAAAATGTCCTAATTTAGAAAATGATCATATTCTACACAAAAAGAAAAATGAGGAAAAATAGATACATTAAAATACGAGCACATTAGTTTCCTTAAGATTATATCTAGGCTGATGCTCAATTCAATTACAACTTCTTTATTTTACTAAGATCTTAGGATAAGCACTTATTAAGTCACATATTAAGTCATAACTTGCATAAATCAGCTTTTTTTTTTTGGAGATGGAGTTTCGCTTTTGTTGCCCAGGCTGGAGGGCAATGACTTATCTTGTCTCCCCAGGTTCTAGCGATTCTCCTGTCCCGCCTCTGCCTCCCGAGTAGCTGAGATTACAAGCACCCACCACCATGCCCAGCTAATTTTTTGTATTTTTAGTAGACACTAGGTTTCACCATGTTGGCCAGGCTGGTCTTGAACTCCTGACCTCAGGTGATCCGTCCGCTTCGGCCTCCCAAAGTGCTGGGATTACAGGCGTGAGCCACCGCCCCAGCCCTCAGCTGCTTCTTTCAAAAACTATTCCCCCTATTGCAATTTCATGTAATTTCTGTGTGTTCTGACCCAGTGAATTAATGCTAACCTTAAATTTCAATGTGTATATTAATATGTTAAGTGACTTTGTATGACATAATTTTTAACCTACAGATCTCTGGTAGCTTTAGTTTACAAACACTTATTACTAAAATCAGTGAAAATAGAAATATCATTTTTCCCTATACGCCATCATAGGACTCCCTATTTGACCTTGCAACTATTTAAAAGGAATTTGGGGCTATAAGTTCATTAAACCTTGTGCTTTCCTAATTAAACAACTTTAAATTTATTTTTCATTGTTTATTTTTGTTACTCTAATCTTCACCCTAGTTTTAGAATTTGTGAACGACATATGTGGTAGTATTATGCAACCAGCCCAGTTAGGAATAGAGTTGACTTATTGACTCTCTGGACATAATGACCAATTAAACTTGAGGGACTCTAGAATCTCTAGGGCTAAAAAGAGGACACAGAATTGTGTGAGTGGTACTCCCTTAATAAATATTGGTTGGCTTTATTTAAAGGCATAACTTTCTTTCCATGACACTTCCAATGTTGTTGATGTCTATAAAGTCAACTTCTCGTTGTAGAAATCCACTAGGAACCTGGTGAGGAGAGCCCATGTCAGTCAAAAATGCCCCAATGACTGAAGACACACTAACTATACACATTTTCCTCTCCTCATAAGTATTTTTCTCACATGTTCTTGATGCAGTCCAGGTTTCATGCTAATTTCATTCTTGGTCAGTGGGCAAAAGGTAGTTGAGTTAGAATGTCGTAAAGATTGAAAATTCAAAAACTCAACTGCATTTATTAATCTGTCTTTGAACCAGACTTCCTTTGAAACACAGCACAAAGAAAGGCGTGAATATCTCTTGGACATTTAGAAAAAAGGTGAGTGGCGTCTAATACAGTGTATTATATTACCATGAGTGGGAAGGATCTCTCAAGAACATCTCACCTACATCCCTGCCTCTGAGTTGCATCATGTTAAATAATCAGAATGCCCAATTTGTTTCCTGGGAACTTTGAAATTAATATGAAGTATTTTCAGTGATTCCAAAAATCCTTCGTATCCTTTCACCCTTTTGAATGGTTTGCTCATTATATCTCCGTACATAAAAACGGTCAGTGGGATTTAAGATTTCTTTTGATTCATGTAGAAAATAGAAATAGGACAAAAAGTCAACGTGACAGTGGAATCAACATGTTCTTGTCAAGAGGTAAGTTCATTTTCTGATAACGTAAAAGAGAAATTGGCGCCATATAAAATATGAAGAAAATAAGAGAAATTATCAGTGCCATATAAAATGTGAAGAGAAGAGGACGTGAAAAAATAGGAGTAGAAAATAACAGCTACTGAATAGGGTCCTCTTTTATTCCATGCCCTTTAGATAACCAGATATCACCTACTACATTGATTTAACTTCCATTTACTGGAAAACTATGTACTCAGTATATTATGCTAGAAACAAAGACAAAGTGATAATATGAAATTCAATAATTTCATGTTATAATATTATGAAATTATAACAATCACTTGAACCACCAATAGTAAATTTTCTGTTTTCTCATATACAAGACAAGCTGAGATAATGATATAGTATTACTATTAATGACTTATTAGTGATTAGTATTAATGATACTGCTATTGATATCAAGCTCACATTCATTAAATGCTTAGTATGCTTGGGACAGGGTCCTAAGTTCAGATGTGTATACATTGTCTCACTTGAGCTTCACAATACTCTCTTTTTATCAAGTCAGAGATTGTTTTTTAATGTAGCACAAGAATGTTCATTCATTGCCCAGGATCACACAATCCAGTAATAAAACCCTGGCAGATTCTGGCTCCAGAGGCACTGTACCTAACAGCTAACCTTTAACAGTGATTTTTTTTAATGCTACTAAGTAGGAAGACAATGTGATACTTTCTTCTTGTTTTTATTTGTGTTTCTTCAATAATGAAAAAGTTATAATCTTTTATACTTTCACTGTCATTTTATGTTGTTTTCTTCCCCAAACTGCTTATTTATGTCCATTGCTCATTTTTTTCCATTGGACTTTTGATCTTTTTCTATTTATTATGTAATAATTATTTATATTTTAATATAATAACCATTTTTTCCATAAACATTGTATATTTTTCTATCTTGCCATTTATGTTTTATCTTTCTGTGTAGTCTTTTTCTGATATAAAAAATTGTATTAATGAGTAAAAATTGTATATATTTATAGTGTACAACATGATGTTTTGATATATGTGTACATTATAAAGTGGCTAAATCAAGTTATCTAATGTATGTATTACCTTACATATTTATCATTTTGTAAATTTACATGGACATTCAAAAAAGCCTAATCTCATATTCTCTTCTATTTTTCAACCAAAGGTGTATTACTGTTATTTGCCAAAAAATAATGTGTATCTATAGCTAAAAAAAATCATATATAATGGAAGAAGTTAAAAATCTCAAGGTCATCTCTGTTCATTTTCATTTATTCATTCCATTATCAAATTATACTTTATATATCAGTGTTTTTACTCTGGAAAAGTTATCTTATTCTGTGGTAAATTGTGTCAATACTTATTTTCTCTTCTCTCTTCAGTCTATCTTTCTATTTTTATGCTTGCAAATTCAAATGGTGTAAACCACCTCGATGACATTTCATTTAAACATGCAAAGTAGACTGAAGAAACTTAGGTGCACTTAGGTAATATAACTAAATAACTGATGACTTTTACAGACTGAAGAAAATCAACTTGAATATATGACTTTTGGTTTGTTTCTATTTTAATTTATGACCACTTTTGTGCTGTATGCAGTCATTCTTATTGTACTATCTGTGTATTTAGGGGGAAATACGGTATAAAAGAAAGAATGATCTTTAAATCCTAGGTGTTAGTCTTGACCTCACCAATAATGAGTGTGCAAATTATTTATTCTTACTGAATCACAGAAGCAATAAAATGCAAACCATGACTGTGAGGGGTTTGATGAGAATTACAAAGAATGTATTTCACACACTGAGCAGTTTCTGGCACATGTTAAGTAAAGCAACAATTATGTTATCAGTTTTGCTATTTTAATTAAGGTATTTGCAGATGGGGAGATGACATCTGTGGTCATTACTATATATCACAAGTAGCCATAATTTTATTACTAATACCCACGGTAGTTCTTTGTGGAAATGGACCTACATGCATGGCATTTAGGAGACAGACACAACTCAAAAAAACACGTAAAGATGTTACTAAAAGAAGCAAAATTTCTTTAGATCAATTGCAGATTTAGATTCAACTCTTATACCCTCTATATTACTCAGCATTTTCAGGCCAAATTTAAAATAATTGGAGTAAAAGTAATATTTCTTTCTAAACTGTTTATTAAGATAGGTTAGGAGGTAAGAAGAGGAGAGAACATAAAATGCATTGAGAACTCACAATTTTCCATGTGTTATGCATATGTTACATACTTTATGTCATTTAAATGTAATGATTTTCTTTAAAGTAATTTAAACACTACTGAAAACACAGGAACTACTTTTAAGCTTAAACATAACCATATTATACTTTACAAGGGCTTTATCCACTTGACTGTAAATTGTATTTGATGCTGAGCTATTCATTAAATTTAATTCAGCTCCAGTAAGAGTATTCAATAAACAAACATTGATTGCTTTCCTATCTTACATTTTTTTAGGAGTGCGAAATAAGTGAGTCATCATGAATTGGGAAAATGAGAGCTCCCCAAAAGAGTTTATACTACTTGGCTTCTCAGATAGGGCTTGGCTACAAATGCCCCTTTTTGTGGTCCTGTTAATATCATACACAATCACCATATTTGGCAATGTGTCCATCATGATGGTGTGCATTCTGGATCCCAAACTTCATACTCCCATGTATTTCTTTCTCACTAATCTCTCCATCTTAGATCTCTGCTATACCACAACTACAGTCCCTCATATGTTGGTAAATATTGGTTGCAACAAAAAGACCATCAGCTATGCTGGCTGTGTGGCCCACCTCATCATCTTCCTGGCCCTAGGTGCTACAGAGTGTCTCCTTCTGGCTGTTATGTCCTTTGACAGATATGTGGCTGTTTGCAGACCCCTCCACTATGTAGTCATCATGAATTATTGGTTCTGCCTAAGGATGGCAGCCTTCTCATGGCTCATTGGTTTCGGCAACTCAGTGCTGCAGTCTTCCTTGACTCTTAACATGCCACGCTGTGGTCACCAGGAAGTGGACCACTTTTTCTGTGAGGTGCCTGCACTTCTCAAGTTGTCATGTGCTGACACAAAGCCTATTGAGGCTGAGCTCTTCTTCTTTAGTGTACTAATTCTTCTAATTCCAGTGACATTGATCCTCATCTCCTATGGCTTCATAGCTCAAGCAGTATTAAAAATCAGGTCAGCAGAAGGACGGCAAAAAGCATTTGGGACATGTGGGTCCCACATGATTGTGGTGTCCCTCTTTTATGGAACAGCCATTTATATGTATCTTCAACCACCTTCATCCACCTCTAAGGACTGGGGAAAGATGGTTTCCCTCTTCTATGGAATCATCACATCCATGTTGAACTCCCTCATCTACAGCCTTAGAAATAAAGATATGAAGGAGGCCTTCAAGAGGCTGATGCCAAGAATCTTTTTCTGTAAGAAATAAGAAGTACTCCATTGTGATGAGAATCTTCTTAGTCTTTCCTTATCTTCAATGATGGTAATGACCTTTGAACTCATTTTCCTATTTTCCAGGCTCTGGTGATTTCACTAAATTCTGTCAACAATTAGAAAATCCTTCCTCTGTTGGCTGGGCGCGGTGGTTCACGCCTGTAATCCCAGTACTTTGTGGGGGCCAAGGTGGGCAGATCACATGAGGTCAGGAGTTCGAGACCAGCCTGGCCAACATGGCGAAACCCCATCTCTACTAAAAGTACAAAAAAATTAGCAGGGCATGGTGGTACACGCCTGTAATCCCAGATACTCAGGAGGCTGGGGCAAGAGAATCGCTTGAACCCAGGAGTCAGAAGTTGCAGTTAGCCCAGATCGCGCCACTCACTCCAGCGTGGGTGACAGAGTAGGAATCTGTCTCAGGAAAAAAAAAAAAAAAAAAAAAAAAAAAGGAAAGAAAGAAAAGTCTTCTTCTGTTTAGGAAGCAATGCTGAACCCATATGACATGTCTTCAAAGTTAGAAACTCCTTTCTTTTCAGAAGTTCCCCCAATGTACTCTGTTCCTTGAGACAAGTCATGTCAATTTCCTATCAACTTCAGGGTAGTCAGGAGACTTTGATGGATTGCCTTCCACTTGTATACTATTATTCTATAACCATCCTGTCTACGCCTTTAGTTAGGGATTTTAATATCCTTATAATTAAATTACCAGTTATTCCAAGCCAAAAATTATTCCATCAGAATCAAAGTCTTCAAACACTTTGAACCCTCTGATCTCTTGATAAAATTCATCATATGCACCTTTTCAGAACTGTTTTTGGTATGTAATTTGGCTTCAATCTAGCTGGCTTTGTTTTTGTTTTGTTTGAGAATGAATTTTACTCTTGTTGCCCAGGCTGGAATGCAATGGCACGATCTCAGCTCACTGCAACCTCCACCTCCTGGGTTCAAGTGATTCTCCTGCTTCAGCCTTCCAAGTAGCTGGGATTACGGATGCCCGCCACCATGCCCAGCTAATTTTTTGTATTTTTAGTAGAAACGGGGTTTCTTTGTGTTGGCCAGGCTGGTCTCGAACTCCTGACCTCAGGTGCTCCACCCATCTCAGCCTCCTAAATTGCTGGGATTACAGGCATGAGCCACTGCACCCAACCAATCTAGCTGGTTTTAAACCAGCTAAGTGTGTGCATCTCAATCTGGAAACCTTAAATGTCAGTTGAGTTTTATTTCAAATTCTATTTTCAATTCATCTCTTTATTCCTCCGGATAGCATTTATCCTTTCTTCCCTTTTGTTAAATTCCTTATTTGTCCCAAGTTCTACCTCAGGTATGTGGCATCTTTTCTAAATTATAGAGCTAATTATAGAAATGTTAATGGGAATCCTTTTTTCTCATATTGACCTGAATTAGCTTACTCTTTATCTGTGGTAGTCATTCAATAAACATTTATTGTTCACAAGACAGCAGTAGTCCAGAGGAGAAATATCACAGTTCCTCTGCTGAAGAAATGTGCTAGTTCCAGAAGGCAATGATTCTTAAACTGAGACATTTAAATGATGGTTTACAGTTAGTAATGTAAGGACACAGATGAGGCAACATTTCAGGCAACAGAGAAAGCTTTACAAAACAAAGCATTTCATCATTACAAGTAATTTAGCAGTTAAACAATACAAAACCAGGCAAGATGAGGTTGACGATGTAATATAATTATATATTATATATAGTTCTATATCACATATAATTATGATAATGATATATTATATATAATTATATTATATATTATTATATTATATATTATTATATTATATATAATTATATTATATAATTATAATTATCTTATATACAATTACAATTATATTATATATAACTATAATAATATTTAGATGACATTTCAAATAAGTGGAAAAAGAAGAGACTGAAGAAATGTCTGTTGAGTTTTATTTCAAATTCTATTTCAATTCATCTCTTTATTCCCCTGGATAGCATTTCTCCTTGTTTTTCCCTTTTGTCAAATTCCATATTTGTCCCAAGTTCTACCTCAGGCATGTGGAATGACCCCTTAATTATAGAGCTAATTATAGAAATGTTAATGGGAATCATTTTTCCTATATCGATCATATCTTCAGAAAACACAAAAAATGAAAGAACACAAAGGGATCCACCTTTTACCTGGATCTCTGTTGTTACCCAATCTACCTTTATGCACTTCTCCCAACTCACTACCAGCGGAGTTTGCGTTTTTTCGTGTGCATTATATCAGAAAATATTCCTATGTTTTCTGGTATTTAAAACATAATTGAAATAGCTGCAAATTGGGCCGGGCATGGTGGCTCACACCTGTAATCCCAGCACTTTGGGAGGCCGAGGCGGGTGGATCACGAGGTCAGGAGATCGAGATCATCCTGGATAACACGGTGAAACCCCGTCTCTACTAAAAATACAAAAAAATAGCCGGGCATG
The DNA here is from genome assembly GCF_000001405.40 of Homo sapiens. Lineage (NCBI taxonomy): Eukaryota > Metazoa > Chordata > Mammalia > Primates > Hominidae > Homo > Homo sapiens. The sequence goes on along the minus strand of NT_167245.2, from coordinate 349,445 downwards.
GTGGCAGGCGCCTGTAGTCCCAGCTACTCGGGAGGCTGAGGCAGGAGAATGGCGTGAACCCAGGAGGCGGAGTTTGCAGTGAGCCGAGATTGCGCCACTGCACTCCAGCCTGGGCGACAGAGCGAGACTCCATCTCAAAAAAAAAAAAAAAAAAAAAAAAGCTGCAAATTTAATTTCACCAAGGAAGTGTATTAAAATCTATTTAACCACTTTCCTATTGTTGAGCATATTTACACTCCTTGTTTTGATTATTGTTACTACTACTGCCAATAATTCAATATGAATTTGTGTCTAAATGTCAGTTTATATTCTGAAAAACTGAATTACTGGCTCTAATTATAAATTTCTTAGAAGATCTAAGAGTTAATAGATATGGTCAAATTGTGCTGTAGAAATTTTATAACATTCCACATTCCCAGATAGATCACTGTATATAGCAAATGAGAATGGTTGCTTCACGAGCTTTTGCAAACTCTGAGAGTTTCATCTTTTGATGAATATGCCAATTTTAGAAGCAGAAACATTATCAAGTTCCTATTTGTTATTTCCTTGAGTATTTTGAAAGTAGAGTATTTTTCATAAATTGAATACATTAGGAATGTTTATAAATATTTTATTTTTTCTCCCCTTCTAGGCAGATGGTAAAATTGCACATCCCTGTCCTATCGAATGCAGACCTGGCTGTTTAATATGATTTGCCAATAAAATGTGAAGAGAAATGATGTGGGTTATTTTTTGATGACTTCAAAATCTAGTACATACTCTGCCATGTTCTCTTTCCCTCTGGCAATCAAAACAATGTTCCAGGTAGGTTCTCAATCAGCCTGAAACAAATGTTAGGAAATTAAAATATGAGGCACTGGCAAAAGGATCACATGGCAGATGATGAGGGATATGATAGTAAAGCTTGAAACTGAGAGGGGCCAAGATGGTCAGTGACACAGCCAGGAAGAACATCTTCCACAACAGACCAGGATATCAGGAAGACTGGCATACTCCGAGCCGATCTTCGGAGGGAAGGCATTGAGGGTGGACAGAGGGAGGACATAGAACCTGGGCTGGAGGGTGAGAAACCTCGGAACTTTGCACGGAGTTGCAGAGTACCCGGACTCGTTTCTGGCCCATGTTCTTGGCCCGCAGTGACTCCTGGGGAAGAGGTCCGTTGAACACACGAGGAGTGGCCACTCTCGCCACAGACCTCCAGAATCCCAACTGCAGGAGACCCCATGACCCCGCGGACACTTGAGCTGGCAGGGAGAGCTATTTGGAAAGGTGGCAAGGACAGGACTTCAGCCTGTGAAAAGCCCAGAGGGTCTGACACAGGAACGGCTGCAGTGGAGCATGGCCAGAGACGCCCATTCCCCCAAAGCTCACCATGCTCCTCTAGGTGGTCTCAGCCTATGGTAACTGCCAGACCTGAACGGAGCAGGGCTATCTTACCTGTGGGATGGGACCAGTCTAATCTGAGTGCTCCCTTGTCTGCCGGCCTCTCCTGGGGTAGACTGGCTAAAGAAAATGTGCTACATATACACCATGGAATACTAAGCAGCCACAGAAAAAGAATTAGATGATGCCTTTTGCAGGAACATGGATGGAGCTGAAGACCATTTTCTTAAGCAAAGTAACGTAGGCACAGAAAACCAAATACCTCACACTCTCATTCATAAGTGAGAACTAAACACTGAGTACACATGAACACAAAGAAGGGAAAAGTAGACTCTGAGGCCTACTTGAGGGTGGTTTAGTTTTTTAAGGACTAAAAAACTACCTATCATATACTATGCTTATCACCTGGGTGGTGAAATAGTCTATACAACAAACCCTATGAAATACGATTTACCTACGTAACAAACCTGCACATGTACCCCTGAACCTAAAGTAAAAGTCTAATAAAAAATGAGAGAGATTGAAATTATGGTGCCAGGTTTGGTGGCTCACACCTGTAATCCCAGCACTTTGGGAGGCCAAGGTGGGCAGATTGCCTGAGCTCAGGAGTTCAAGACAAGCCTGAGCAAAGTAGTGAAAACTCATCTCTAAAAAAATACAAAAATTCATTGGGTGTAGGAGCAAACACTTGTAGTCCCAGCTACTAGGGGATGCTGAGGCAGAAGGATCACCTGAGCCTGGGAGGTTAAGGCAGCAGGGAGCCAAGATCACACCACTGCAGAGTACAGACAGAGAAGACCCTGTCTCAAAAAAAAGAAAGAAAGAGAAGAAAGAGAGAAAGAAAGAAAAAGAAAGAAAGAAGAAAGAAAGACAGGGAGGGTGAAAGAAAGAGGAGAAAAAAGAAAGAAAAGAAAGAGAAAGAAAGAAAGAGAGAAAGGAAAGAAAAGAAAGAGAAAGAGAGAGGGAGGGAGGGAAGGGAAAGAAGAAAAAAAAGGGAAGGAAGGAAGGAAAAAGGGAAGGAAGGAAGGAAGGAAGGAAGGAAAAAGAGAAGGGAGGGAGGAAGGGAGGGAGGGAGGAAGGGAGATAAAGTGATCCATGTTATACAATAAGGAAACATTTCATAAACTATCACCTGCAATAACTTAGAAGGCAGATAATGAACCTAACAACTGAGTGGAACCCGAGGGTTATGAAGAACAATGGATGGAGGAGCTACTTTTCAATGAGTGGGATATAGGGACATTTCCAAACTCACATTTGGAACGCCTCACAAGAACTGCCCAGTGGTTACAGTGATTGTTTAACTTCTGGGAAGACATTTTAAGGGCAGAGTGTGTTTTGCAACTTTTATTTCCCTCTATCACAACAATCTAGAGAACTTTGGATAGTGTCTACTTCATCAGTTTGGATCCCTAATGCACAATGACATGGACAAGTCCCTAGCAACATTCAATAAACACAAAACATAAGCAAAAATGAAATATTTGTTGGTTTAAGCCTTTATGATGGACTTGTTTACCAGCATATGTTAATTGGCCATTTTTTTTAAAAAAAATAATATTATGGAGAAATACTCACTGTTAAGTGGTGGAGAAAACTCAAGAAACGATTCTACACTTAGAACATGACCCTAATTTTATGTATACCTATATGTGTAAGAAAACACTAGAAATAAGTTCACCAAGCTAACTGTGGTGAGGTAAGTGACAGGATATCAGGAAATTTTTATTCCAGGCTTCTTATTTTTCTGTATTTTCTGATTTCATCATACAATTTCTTAAGTATTAGGAAAAAGTCTAAACATCATAAAACTGGTGCTCTAAGTCTATTTCACCTTGAAAAGTCTTGCATTAATGTTTATTTGCTTCCCATTAGACACTATCTTAAAGCCATAATAACCTAAAGTTGAATTTTATTTGAAATAAAAATTATTGATAGTGAAATTTTTATTAATGTATTTATAAATTTGGCAACTAATTTTAGAAATATCTACTCCAACCTTCAAGCTTACCATTAATAATTTCCCAAAGTCTTCTTAAAAATAATTTTATAAATATTTATACTTTGGGGGGCATTAGTAACTTAAATAACAAAAATAAGATGGGTTGAGCTCTAAAATTTGAATCACCATCAATGTTCTAAAATATTTTTATATTACTTGTATCTACATTATTATCACATACCACCTAAATCAGAGACACTTAAATTTTCTCTGCCTTCCTAAGTGCACATCCAGAGCAAAGATATTATATATAGATATATAGTATATACAGATATTAAAATAGTTATAAATTTGCCTAATGTTTTTCAATCGCTTACTATACATACAGATTTTGCTATTTGCCGAGTATTTGTTAGTGAATAAGACAGACACAATTCCTTCCCTCACAAACTTTATAGTCTAGTGGGAGAAAGAAAACAAATAATAATACTAAACATGTAATTACAAGTTGTACTAAGTACTATAAAGTAAAAATGACAAGGCTTCATGAATAAAATGGATGGGTGATTAGTTTAAACCAGGAAAGGTTCAAGGAAAGCTCTTCTAGGGAAGTGTCATTTAGGCTCAGATCTATAAGTGAGGTAGTAAATTCTTCAGAGTAGACAAAACAGTAGATGCTAAGGCCTTGATCTGGCAGGAAGTATCATAACCACAAGTGTTCTTTTTATTGTCATCTTTTTATTTAATGTAGTTTACTACATTTTACATTTATAATGTATTTTTAATGTAATTTTTAAAGTTGCAAGTATAATACAGAACTTTAAATACCCTTTTCCAGAGTCATCATTCATTTACATTTGCCTTACTTTTACACATATGTAATATATAAATGTAGTTTTCATATCTATGAAATTTTTCCCAACCTTTTTATTACTACATACACTTTAGTGTATAGTTGCTAAGGACATTAACTTCCATACATAGCCAGTACAATCATAAAAACTGGGACATTTTACAGTCATATAATACTATTATGTAATCAATAGTTCATATTCAGATCTTGTTAATTATCTCCAAAATGTTCTTTATATTTTCTCCCATTCAGGAGCCAATAATGATGCAACATTTCAGAAAAGTGTATAAGGATAGTTTGTCTTAAAATCGATGCTGTTAACTTTAGTCACTTGACTAACATGGTGTCCCCCAGATCTCATTATGCCTTTTTCCTGAGAAATTAATAAGTAATTTGTGGCAGACAGCATAACTATGTAAATGTCTTAAACTTTCACCCACTAATTTTAACATCTATTAATAATTCTCCAATCCTAGTATGCCCTCTATATTTATTAACTGATGTGCCATTAAGAGTTTTCCCTTTTCCCCCTTCATGTATTCATTTTTTATATTTTTATCAGTATATACTCATAAATTTCTATTTTATATCGCTATTTTACCTTTTTTTATTATTACAGTTTTTCTGGGGTACATGTGCAGGATGTGAAGGTTTGTTACATAGGTATACATGTGCCATGGTGGTTTGCTGCACCCACCAACCTGTCATCTACATTAGGTATTTCTCCTAATGCTATCCCTCCCCCAGTCCTCCATCCCTGACAGGCCCCAGTGTGGGATGTTCCTCTCCCTGTTCCATGTGTTCTCATTGTTTAACTCCCACTTATGAGTGAGAACATGCAGTGTTTGGTTTTCTGTTCTTGGGTTAGTTTGCTGAGAATGATAGTTTCATTAACTAGATTAACTGTGTAGTAAGAATTTATCATTCACTTTTCACTTCCACACCAGCAGGATGATGTAAGGAAACTAATACCATCAGAAAGGATCATGTTTTAAAATTAAAGCTATAATAGGGAAAAAAAATATATATATATATACTGTATCCCTACATAAAGCTGAGGGTTACCGAGAATAAGTCAAATGTATTCATTAATGTCAATAATGAATTGGGTGGGAGTGGATTCAGACAGAAAAGAAATAAAAACAAAGGGTATACGTATATCAAATCATCACACTGCACACCTTGAATATATACAATCTTTATTGTCAATTAAATATTGTTTTAAAAAATAAAGGACCAGAAGCTGAATATAGTTATAGAATGCAGCAAATGATGAAAACAAAAGTGGGAGCAAAGAACAAGCCTGAGATGATCAGTGTGAACTTGGCTAGAAGGATTCCAGATTGCTAGATCTGCTGCTAATTGTGAACCATGGGTGAAAAAAGCAATTACTTTAAAAACAAGCCCATGGCCAAAAGTTTTCAGGACCCATATTTTCAAAATTCCAGATTCCATGATTTTTAATCATGTTTTAATAACATTAATGTATGTTAATATCTTCTTGACACAATGTTTTTATGGTTTAAATAAAATGAGGAACTTTAATGTAGTCAATGGAAGGTAAAAAGTCTATACTGTGTTGGGTTATTGTGGAAGAAATTATTGAAGACTTCTTTTGTCTGTATGTGGAACTAGGATTATGATGGCTCTATGGTAGCAGAAATCTAAAGAAATAATATCTTGAGAAAAACTATAAATAAAAGAAAATTAGATCTTGGCACCTAAAATAATAATCTTAATTTCCTCCTTGTGATCCAAGGAAATTTTTATAAAATTGTTAAGGCAGATTCAGTTTCCTTGGCTTCTCTCAGACCTGAGTCCATTATAAATAACAGGTGCCAAAATTTATCATTTCATTTTATTATGGCAAGGAAGTTAGAGGGAAGCATACCCACTAAGGAATTGCTATAATGACCCTTACCAAGAAATTTCAACTCTATTATCTGTACAGAGAACAAAGTTTCACAGCTTTATAGAGTGAGTGGCAACCCTATAAAGTACTTTTTTTAAAGTACCTTTAGAACAAGATCGTGTCCTTTGCAGGGACATGGATGGAGCTGGAAGCCATTATGCAGGAACCATTATGCAGAAAACCAAACCCTGCATGTTTTCACTCATGGAATGATGAGCTGAGCAATGAGAAAACATGGATACAGGGAGGAGAACAACACACAGTGGGGCCTGTCTGGGGGTGGAGAGGGGAGGGAGAACATCAGGAAAAATAGCTAATGCATGCTGGGCTTAATACATACGTGATGGGTTGATAGATGCAGCAAACCACCATGGCACACGTTTACTTATGTAACAAACCTGCACATCCCACACATGTATCCCAGAACTTAAATAAAATAAAATAAATTTTTTAAAGTACCTTCCTTACCTCTAAAGAGTAAGTAGGTTTTCATATTTGAAAATATTTGGGGTGTGCTCTGAGGGAGGGCCTGGGCCACCCACCTTTGCTGGAGGAGCCCTTCAGGCCATAATAAGCATGAATAATGTCTTTCCTCTTTGAGTGGATCTACAATGGCTTCAGCAGTGTGCTCCAGTTCCTAGGACTCTACAAGAAATTTGGAAAACTTGTATTTTTCGGTTTGGACAACGCAGGCAAAACCACTCTTCTTCACATGCTCAAAGATGACAGATTGGGTCAACATGTTCCAACACTACATCCGACATCAGAAAAGCTATTAATTGCTGGAATGACTTTTACAACTCTTGATCTTGGTGGACACAAGCAAGCATGTCAGGTTTGAAAAAATTATCTCCAAGCAATTAATGAGATTGTTTTTCTGGTGGATTCTGCAGATCATTCTGGCCTCATGGAATCTAAAGTTGAGCTTAATGCTTTAATGACTGATGAAATAATATCCAATGTGCCAATCCTTATATTGGGTAACAAAATAGACAGAACAATGCAATAAGTGAAGAAAAACTCTTTGAGATATTTGGGCTTTCTGGACAGACCACAGGAAAGAGGAACATGGCCCTTTAGGAGCTGAACGCTCACCCCACTGAAGTGTTCATGTGCAGTGTGCTCAAGAGGCAAGGCTAGGGCGAGGGATTCTGCTGGCTCTCCCAATGTATTGACTGATGTTTGGACAGAGAAAATAAGAGTTTTTCTCCTCTGGACTGATCCTGTTCACAGCTTCTTCATGGACTTTTCTAATAGAACAATGAAAGGTCTCCAATCATGTCTAGCATTGAGAAGCCAAGAGTCACTGTCTACTCTCATCACCCAGTGGTGAAATGTTCTCTTCTCCACACTGTTGGGGAGGTAATGCTGCCCCATGTGCTGGTGCAGGTCAGTATCCTGGGGCTTGGAAGCTGGCAGGGGTTGCTGAGTAAAGCTGTGTGCCATTATGGGGCACCTGAAAAGAAAAACACATCTCACCACTCTGGTTGATTTCAAAAGAAAGTGATTCTATTTTTAAAGAAAGTGTTGTTAATATAATTGATACCCCTTCTAACTTTTCGAGTTCAAAATTTACTTAGTCCAGAGTTTTCTATTCTTTTTTAAACTAATGAATGACATTTAGATACTTCATAAAATTATGAACAGATACACATTGGAGGCCAGAGCTCATTTGGGTAAACTCACTCCTGCTGAGTTAGCAGGTTGGTGAGAGAAGCTCCCCTGAGCTCACCTGTCTCTCTAACTGCCTTGGAGAAGGTGGCATTACCTTGTGAACAGAGAACCAGAAAAGGGGCAGAATCCTGGCCTTGTAATTGCGGCAGGTTTCCACTGTGGTAAGCTAGGGTCATTCCTTCTCAAGGAATGTGTAGCAGATCATTCACTATTGAGCAGTTAATTATAGTGTAAGTTACTGTTATTATTCTTATTTATAAAGTTATAGGTTTCATCCAGTCTTTACTTTTATACTTTGGTGAAATTTTATTTCCCTCTATAGCACCTTCCTTTTTCATTTTCAGTTATAAAAAGTAACTTTCACCTCATGAAAAAGTTGAGAACATCTCTTATGTTGTCACATACTGCAGGTGTGTCAGTTACTTTTGCACAGATTCTAGAGGAAAATTTTTCTGAATAGGAAGACAGGACAAAGTTAACAGCTTAAGGGCTCTTAATTCTGGGAGTTGAGGACTTAAATGTATTGTAGCACTTGTCTGAATGCAGGAAAAATTTACTCACTGGGCTTTAAAATTTCCATTTGCAGAATTTGGTCTCTATTGGATTTTTCCTGAGCTCTTTGTCTTACATCTTATCTCCTTAGATATCTACGTTGCTGTGTTTAAAGTAAAGGTTAACATCTGTAGCTTTTCCAGGTGTGTTTGTGTGGATTTTTTTAATATGAAATTGCCTTTCCCCATTGTAGAAATAAGCTGGGGGGAAACACTAACTCAAAAACTTTCTGTAGAGCTGTTCCTTTGGAAGCAGCATCACTTATTGGCAGTAAAGACTCAGGATAAAAGCAACAGCATCCCTACCACGGTGATGAGGATTGATTTTATAGCATTCCATTTTCTTAGTGTCACATGTGAAATTGGTTTTTTATGATCTTAACCTAAATTCTACCCTTGTAGTAAAAGATCAAAAGATAAGATCTCCTAGGAAAAGACAGGAGATAGGAGATGAAAAGTTAGGAGGATATCTTTATTCTAATGTGAGGGTAGGGAAAATGTGGATAACATATTATTGGGGAGAGAGTATAGTTATTTAGTTGGAGTTCTCAGTCTTCAGTACTGACTTGTTCGGGAAACATACTTTTTCACTGCCAGGTACTGAATGCAGAGGCTCAGTGAAGTATATTTCCGGGAAGTGCATGCATTTCATTTATTAGCAAGCATAGCTGGATTAAGATAAAATTGTTTGGAAAGGGGTTAAAGCCTTAACTGAACAAATCTAGCTAACAGTGAATGAACTAGATAGTTAACTTGCATTTTTTTTAAATTTTCCTTTGGTTAAAGGTTCCCCATACTTCTCTTATCAGAGACATGAGAAGTATGATTGCTTCCATGTTGGTTTTCTTACTTTTAGTTTCGGATTTTTTTTCCCTATTTGTCCCTAGTAACTTTGTTGCAAGCTAGAAAACTGTCGGTTCTACGTAGGGCAGCTGCTGTGAGGAGCTCAGCTCTAAACACAGGATCAGCGCCTTGTACAGGAATTCTCATGAATTAAGATGTTTCATTCTGTTTTATCAGAGTGCATGTATGTCCTATTTCAGAAAAAGTAAAACAGTCATTTACAAAAGAAAGTCAATCTGTATCCTAAGCATTTTAATTAAAAGTTAAAGCATAAATAAATAAATAAACAATAAATCAAAAGATTTGGGATCCTTTCAATCAAATAAATAACTATTAAAGACCTCTGATATGACATAAAACCACTGAATACAGAAAGAACATTCAATCTTTATCCCCAATTAACACTGAATTCTGATGGAAGAAAAAGATTAATGTTCTTTTTTGCAAGAAAAGAGGGTACCCCTAAAAAATATCAACACTGATTTAGGCAACTGTTGCATATGAGTAGAAATGATCTATTTAGCTTGATTGATTTAATCTTTTTATACAACCACATGCATGTTGTGATCTCCTTATGAAAATTTGCATACTAAAAAAACTATTTTAAAAAAGGCTACTGTGGGCACACTGCCTATAGGATAGCCCTGCTAGGCAAGGAGCAGTTAAAAAAAGTATAAATAAATTGACACCTATTAATACTAATACTAATCATTATAATTTAAAACATTGAAACATGTTTTTGAAAAATAATCTATGGTACTGTTTGCATTTGTGAGCATTTCCACTGATTAAAAACATATGTGTACTGATATTAAAATCTAGAAATCATTAACATCAGATTCAAGGCAAGGGATCTGAGTAATGTAGGGAAATAAAATGGTAGAAAAAACAACCCTTCTAAGACTTCTTATGGGAATATAAGGACATGGTTAATATTTGGATACAAAGAAAAATTAACTATCAGATATAGACTTAAAATCAAACAGGGAACTTTATTTCATGAAAAATAACCAACCCAACATTGAGTATTGGACTTAATAAAGCGTGTTCACACATATGGTGCTAATTAATCTCCACAACGGAGCAAGATAGATAAAGAAGTTTCTGAATATTTAAGCAAGACCTAAAATGTACATGTATTAGTAATTGGGAAGTGGACTAAATCTAGATTTTCTAATATCATTCTTGTTTCTTTTCTACTATGCCAGTATTGTCCAAATTTTTTACCATTACCTATAGTAAGGAATATATTGTACATCAGAATCCAGGTCATACAAACACATATATAAAATGAGTGATGAGAATAAGTAAAATAAATCAATAAAATAGTATATAACTGCGTAATAGATTACAACTCACAGTGTGAAAAGCACTAACATACATCATACTGTATAACTGCTGATACTTTAATGACCTTATATCACTTGGCTGTGCAATGAATTATCTTGTCTTGTAAGTACTGAACGTGTTGCAAGGAACCATTTCCTTTCAGCTGTGTGCTTCCTTTTATGACAAAAGTTTTATGTTGGCGATCGTCATTCCAGGATTTGGGAAGAAGAGGTAAGGAATAGCACTATGTTGTTTCTATGCAAATCAGACTGATCCACGTGGAGCTCAGTGAGTTCTGAACTCACCTACATCAACTCACAAATTGAACCAGAACATGACCAGGGCCAACAGATTTTGGATGAAAGAAATTAACACGTGTTAGTTAGCATGGGTAGTTCTTGGGCATTCTTTAAAATTATTCATTTCTCCATCTGATTCATTTTTCTAATATAAGATTAATTATGTTTCCCATTACTTAATCATTATTCTGTAAAAGTTTGCTATATTGCATTTCTTGGGTAAGATACAGAGATTTGTTGATCTTCCTTTTAGAGGCACTAGAAAGGTAACATTTTGGCCTTTAGATAAAATTTTTCATGCTTACAAGTGTCAAATCACATCAGTTTAGTTACATCACAGAGAAAACCCCTTCATAACTCAGTTTATTTTACTTAACTGAATAAGTGGAGTATCAGAAAAATTCAATACTAAAGTAGCCTTTCCTTTCCCTCAAATCCACCAACAAGAGCAATGACAGGAATCTGGGCAATGCAATTGCTCGAAAGATCTTCATTCTCTGGGGTTTCTTTGACCACCCCTAGCCGGAAATGTTTCTCTTCATAATGGGGCTTGTTGCTTATCTCTGCATACTGGTGGACAACATCTCAATTATTGTGGTACCCAGGGGATATTTTAGGGGAGCACCAAATGCATCATTTTAGCTGTGACGTCTTTGGATCCTTACATTGCCATCTGCAAACACTTGAGGTACCCAGCTATCATGCATCAGCAACTCTGTGTCCTCCTAGTGGCCATGGCATGGCTAAGCAGTTTGGCCAACTCTACTTCAGTCATCCCTTGCCGTCCAGCTGCCACTAGGCGGTAACAAGGTGGACGACTTTCTGTGTGAGGTCTCAGCGATGATCAAGATATCACGTTTTGACACCACATTCAATGTATCTATGCTCTCCATTGTGAGGATATTTTAGTCCCTCGTTCTCTAATCAATTATCTTTGCTTACTGTGGATTCATTGTAGCTACTGTGCTGAGGATTCAGTCCTCAGGGGGAAAGAAGGAGGTCTTCAACACATGTGGTTCTCATATTGTATCTCTCCTCTATGGGCCTGTAATTAGCATGTATGTACAGCCCTCTGCCAACTCCCAGGACAAAAACAAATTCATGTCCCTGTTCTACAGTTTGGTGACTCCTATGCTTAACCCTTTTATCTACACTTTGAGCAACAGGGACATAAAAGGGGCAATGAGGAGGCTTCTTGTCTTTTTGTATCACCAGGAAGAGAACAAAAGTAATTATTTTTATACTCCACATTCTTCATATACAGGTCAGAAGATCTCCTGTTCTAAAATTACATGTTGATTTAACCTCCTCCAAAATTGTTAGCATTCTTTACTACCCACCCTGTCTACATATATGCTTTTGTACCACACAATGGGGTTTGTTGGATATCATTTCAAGTGTGAATCCTAATCCTCAGATTGTCTGCAATTTGCATGGTAGTGAGAACTATGTCCTTATATTCCTTTGTATTTATCTAGAAATATCCATAGGCATCTAAAAAGTGGGCAATAAATAAATGTTAATAGACTGACTCATTTACTCAGAGCAAAAATCAAGTCCTATCATTTTATGTGTTACTTTGAAAAATATATATGAGTAATATAGACTGCAGTTTACCTTCTTGTTATTATGAATGTGATTTAAAGGCTAATCTTTTATTTGCAAATTAACTTTTTATGGATTGCCAGCAAGATCAAATAGGTTAATATCTCATATTCCATAACTGACCCTCTCAACCACAAATTCACTGATCCTTTACAAATAAAATAATTCAAAAATAATATCTGACTCTTTCCTATCGATCTTAATGGGATTTCTTCCTTCTGAGGTATTTGACTGAAGTAATTATTTCTAGGTTATCAGATGGAGAAGTTAAAATCTTCAGAAATTTCTATGTTGTCTCTTAATATTGAGAGCCACTCACCCTTCAATGGGAAGACAACCTACCTAGAATGAGAAAATTAGATGTATTTGGTAGGTAACCGAAGGATTAAATCGTCTCATCATTTAAAATCAGAATATTCAGCAGAAGGAAAATGGAAAAAGAAGGTAGAGCACAACCTGGGGCAAATATAAAATAAACTAGCTATCAGACCGTCAATTTTGAGATAGAGGTGACAAAGTAGAAAGTTGGATAATGATGTAAGAAGGCAGTGTTCTGTTGACTTTATCCATAACATCAACTCTCCTCATTATAAATCCATAATTTTTCTTATACTTCCTCTGCTCCCCTGTCTTTCAACTTGTGTTTAAGAAAAACATTTGTTTTTCTAACAACTACATACATTCATTTGAGGCCTTCACACATCTGCCCATCCTTCATGTATTTCCACTGTGCTCTTCTGAATGACAAGAACAAAATCTATTAACACACAATGTGCAAACCGCTGATAAAGAAATATTATATATTATAGTTTTGCCATTGTTGGAGACAAGGAAACATCACTCTTTTGGAGGAAAGTTGACTCCCTGGCATACCAACATGTCTGTAAGGACTAGGCCTGATTTCACTGTGTACCTCTCCTTCATAGTACTGACCTGTATTGAGAGAATGGGCTCTAAATAAGTATTTTTTAAATAAATGAATGAATGATAAGTATTACCCACTGTCCTAATTACCTACTATTAAAACCTATATAACAGAATCATGCAAAAATGTGTCATATACTAAACAATGAGTGTAGCAAAAGAGGTTTGTAGCTGAATGTTTTTTTAAATTTTTTATCTCCATAGGTTTTTAGGTAACAGGTGGTATTTGGTTACATAAGTTCTTTAGTGGTGATTTGTGAGATTTTGGTGCACCCACCACCTGAGCAGTATACACTGAACTCAATTTGTAGTCTTTTATCCCTCCCTCCCCTCCTACCCTTTCCCCCACCCAGTCCCCAAAGTCCATTGTATCATTCTTATGCCTTTGCATCCTCATTGCTTCGCTCCCTCTTATGAGCAAGAACATACAATATTTGGTTTTCCATTCCTGAGTTACTTCATTTAGAATAATAGTCTCCAATCCCATCTAGGTTGTTGTGAATGCCATTAATTCATTCCTTTTTATGGCTGAGTAGTATTCCATTGTGTGTATATATATATATATATATATATACCACAGTTTCTTTATCTATTCGTTGATTGATGGGCATTTGGACTGGTTCCACATTTTTGCAATTGCAAATTGTGCTGCTATAAACATGCATGTGCAAGTATATTTTTCGTATAATGACTTCTTTTCCTCTGAGTAGATACCCAGTAAGGGGATTGCTGGATCAAATGGTAGTTCCACTTTTAGTTCTTTAAGGAATCTCAACACTGTTTTCCATAGTGGTTGTACTAGTTTACATTCCCATCGGCAGTGTAGAAGTGTTCCCTTTCACCACATCCATGCCAATATATATTTTTTAAAAATTTTTTATAATGGTCATTCTTGCAGGAGTAAGGTTGGTATCTCATGGCAGTTTTGATTTGCATTTCTCTGATCATTAGTGATGTTGAGCATTTATTCATATGTTTGCTGGCCATTTGTATATCTTCTTTTGAGAATTGTCTATTCATGTCCTTAGCCCACTTATTGATGGGATTGTTTGATTTTTTCTTGCTAATTTGTCTGAGTTCCTTGTAAATACTGGATTATTAGTCCTTTGTCAGATGTACAGATTGTATAGATTGTGAAAAATTTTCTCCCACTTTGTGAGTAATCTACTCTGCTGACTGTTCTTTTGCTGTGCCAAAGCTCTTTAGTTTCATTAAACCCCACCTATTTATCTTGGATTTTGTTGCATTTGCTTTTGGGTTCTTGGTCAGAAATCTTTGCCTGAGCCAATGTCTAGAAGGTTTTTTTCAATGTTATCTTCTAGAATTTTTATAGTTTCAGGTCTTAGGTCTTAGATTTAAGTCTTTGATCCATCTTTTTTTTTTTTTTTTTAGACAGAGTCTTGCTCTGTCCCCCAGGCTAGAGTGCAGTGGCTCAATACCAGCTCACTGCAAGCTCTGCTGCCTGGGTTCACGCCATTCTCCTGCCTCAGCCTCCCGAGTAGCTGGGACTACAGGCGCCCGCTGCCATGCCCAGCTAATTTTTTGTATTTTTAGTAGAGACGGGGTTTCACCATGTTAGCCAGAATGGTCTTGATCTCCTGACCTCGTGATCCACCTGCCTCGGCTTCCCAAAGTGCTGGGATTACAGGCGTGAGCCACCGCACTCAGCTTTGATCCATCTTGAGTTGATTTTTGTATAAGGTGAGAGATGAGGATCCTGGTTCATTATCCTACATATGGCTTGCCAATTATCCCAGCA
This sequence comes from Homo sapiens, assembly GCF_000001405.40. Taxonomy (NCBI): domain Eukaryota; kingdom Metazoa; phylum Chordata; class Mammalia; order Primates; family Hominidae; genus Homo; species Homo sapiens. Next base: position 334,368 of record NT_167245.2, on the reverse strand, counting down.
ACATCTGTTGAATAGCATGTCCTCTCCCCACTTTATGTTTCTGTTTGCTTTGTCAAAGATCAGTTGGTTATAAGTATTTGGTTTTATTTCTTGGTTCTCTCTTCTGTTCCATGGGTCTATGTGCCTACTTTTATACCCATACCATGCTGTTTTGGTGACTATGGCCTTATAGTATAGTTTCAAATCAGGTAATGTGATGCCTCCAGATTTGTTCTTTTTGCTTAGTCTTGCTTTGGCTATGTGGGCTCTTTTTTGGTTCCACATGAATTTTAGGATTGTTTTTTCTAGTTCTATGAAGAATGATGGGGTTGGGTCATATGTTGAGTTTATTTTAAGCTTTATAAGAAACTGCCAAGTGGTTCCTCAAAGTGATTTTAACATTTTGCATTCTCATCAGTAATAAATAAGAGTTCCCCTTGTTCTGCATTTTTTTTCTAGCATTCACTATTGTCAGGGTTTTTTTTTTTAGCCAATAGAACATTATGTGGGAATTTTTCTGTCTTGTTGCCTAATATTTAATATTTATAGTTTCATAATATTTAAATTTTATTTACTTATTTTCATAATATTTAATATTTAATTATTTCATAATATTTAAATTTTGCTTCCTGGCCTGCAAAACCTGAACTATTTTCCATCTGGCTCTTGTGGGGAAAATTAGCTGATCTCTGGTCTTTCATATGGATTTTCCTAACTCATTGAACCTCATTGAGGTTCAACTGAACTATAAGTCAATAACTATAAGCTTTTTAAATATGGGAAATAGTGAGTCTTTGATAGGAACAAGTAATTTTTTCCAATTTTTCTTTAAGAATTTTGGCCTATGTACACAAGACAGGGATGCCCTCTCTCACCACTCCTATTCAACATAGTGTTGGAAGTTCTGGCCAGGGCAATCAGGCAGGAGAAAGAAATAAAGGGTATTCAATTAGAAAAAGAGGAAGTCAAAGTGCCCCTGCTTGCAGATGACATGATTGTATATCTAGAAAACCCCATCGTCTCAGCCCAAAATCTCCTTAAGCTGATAAGCAACTTCAGCAAAGTCTCAGGATACAAAATCAATGTGCAAAAATCACAAGTATTCTTATACACCAATAACAGACAAACAGAGAGCCAAATCATGAGTGAACTCCCATTCACAATTGCTTCAAAGAGAATAAAATACCTAGGAATCCAACTTACAAGGGATGTGAAGGACCTCTTCAAGGAGAACTACAGACCACTGCTCAATGAAATAAAAGAGGATACAAATGGAAGAACATTCCATGCTCATGTGTAGGGAGAATCAATATTGTGAAAATGGCCATACTGCCAAAGGTAATTTATAGATTCAGCGCCATCCCCATCAAGCTACCAATGACTTTCTTCACAGAATTGGAAAAAAGTACTTTAAAGTTCATATGGAACCAAAAAAGAGCCCACATTGCCAAGTCAATCCTAAGCCAAAAGAACAAAGCTGGAGGCATCACACTACCTGACTTCAAACTATACTACAAGGCTACAGTAACCAAAACAGCATGGTACTGGTACCAAAACAGAGATATAGACCAATGGAACAGAACAGAGCCCTCAGAAATAACGCCACATATCTACAGCTATCTAATCTTTGACAAATCTGACAAAAATAAGCAATGGGGAAAGGATTCCCTATTTAATAAATGGTGCTGGGAAAACTGGCTAGCCATATGGAGAAAGCTGAAACTGGATCCCTTCCTTACACCTTATACAAAAATTAATTCAAGATGGATTAAAGACTTCAATGTTAGACCTAAAACCAGAAAAACCCTAGAACAAAACCTAGGCAATACCATTCAGGACATAGGCATGGGCAAGGACTTCATGTCTAAAACACCAAAAGCAATGGCAACAAAAGCCAAAATTGACAAATGGGATCTAATTAAACTAAAGAGCTTCTGCACAGCAAAAGAAACTACCATCAGAGTCAATAGGCAACCTACAGAATGGGAGAAAATTTTTGCAACCTACTCATCTGACAAAGGGCTAATATCCAGAATCTAAAATGAACTCAAACAAATTTACAAGAAAAAAACAAACAACCCCATCAAAAAGTGGGTGAAGGACATGAACAGACACTTCTCAAAACAAGACATTTATGCAGCCAAAAGACACATGAAAAAATGCTCATCATCACTGGCCATCAGAGAAACGCAAATCAAAACCACAGTGAGATACCATTTCACACCAGTTAGAATGACGATCATTAAAAAGTCAGGAAACAGGCCGGGCGCGGTGGCTCACGCCTGTAATCCCAGCACTTTGGGAGGCCGAGGCGGGCGGATCACGAGGTCAGGAGATCGAGACCCCGTCTCTACTAAAAATACAAAAAATTAGCCGGGCGTGGTAGCGGGCGCCTGTAGTCCCAGCTACTCGGGAGGCTGAGGCAGGAGAATGGCATGAACCCGGGAGGCGGAGCTTGCAGTGAGCCGAGATCGCGCCACTGCACTCCAGCCTGGGCGACAGAGCGAGACTCCGTCTCAAAAAAAAAAAAAAAAAAAAAAAAAAAAAAAGTCAGGAAACAACAGGTGCTGGAGAGGATGTGGAGAAATAGGAACACTTTTACACTGTTGGTGGGACTGTAAACTAGTTCAACCATTGTGGAAGTTGGTGTGGCGATTCCTCAGGCATCTAGAACTAGAAATACCATTTGACCCAGCTATCCCATTACTGAGTATATACCCAAAGGATTATAAATCATGCTGCTGTAAAGACACATGCACATGCATGTTTATTGCAGTACTATTCACAATAGCAAAGACTTGGAACCAACCCAAATGTCCAACAATGATAGACTGGATTAAGAAAATATGGCACATATACACCATGGAATACTATGCAGCCATAAAAAATGATGAGTTCATTTCCTTTGTAGGGACATGGATGAAGCTGGAAACCATCATTCTCAGCAAACTATCACAAGGACAAAAAACCAAACACCGCATGTTCTCACTCATAGGTGGGAATTGAACAATGAGAACACATGGTCACAGGAAGGGGAACATCACGTGCCAGGGCCTGTTGTGGGGTGGGGGGAGGGGGGAGGGATAGCGTTAGGAGTTATATCTAATGTTAAATGACGAGTTACTGGGTGCAGCACACCAACATGGCACATGTATACATATGTAACAGACCTGCACGTTGTGCACATGTACTCTAAAACTTAAAGTATAATAAATAAAAAAAGAAGTTTGGCCTATGTATAACTATGATATATCAATTTTTAAATGCAAGACAAAGACAGACATTTTCTGTAGGTATCTGTTACTTAATGAGCATGGCTGATCTTTTTAGTTGCCTTTAAAATGTTCTGTATTTAATTAATTCATTCTAATATAAATATTCTGTGAATCTTTATTGTATTTTCTCAATACAATTTAGAACTTTAACTTTCTGAGGAAGGTTTTGAACCTCACTTTTCAATTGAATTTCCTGACGGTCAAATTGCTTAACCCATTCTGAATACTTTTACTGTAATTTTTACAGGCTTTAATGACAAGAGGCTTGAGGAAAGGGAGCCTGTTTTGCCCTTTACACCGGACACACAGAAGGCACCATCCATAAGAAATGAATGCTTACCAGGTAATGAAATTTGCTGGTACCTTGATCTTGAACTTCCCAGCCTCCAGAACTGTAAGCAATAAATTTATGTTGTTTACATAAAAAAGAAAATAAAAATACATGAAGAAGAATTACCCAGTGTTTCTCTCACATCCTTTACAGACTTCTAAACAATACAAACTCTTTAAATTGTAAACGAACTTGGAAAATTTTTACATCATCTTAAACAATTACGTATATCAGTTAAAAACAAATAAAGCCTTTAATAATGTGTTCAAATAATTTAATTTATATTTTGTTTCTTCCTCCATCAAAAGTCTTTACAGAAGCATAAATCAATTTCCTCAAAGCCCCTTTTGACTGATGATTGACTGGTACTTACTTTCTGATTGCTTCATTCTCCCCAATTCTAAGTCCCTGAGTCCCTGACATCAATTTAACTTCTCCAAGTGCAGTAGAAAATATTCATCAAGTGTTTCAATATTTGCTCTGACCTTACTTATAATTTAGCACTTGTTACAATAATTTACATATCTTTTCAGTTCACTGTTTGCTCAGTTGGTCATCCCATTCTTGAGCTTTTTTGCGTGTAGTTTATGCTTTCCTGGACATTGCAATGCTCATTTTAGCCATATTTTGTTGCTATCTTAACTTGCTGGCTTTTTTTACTCTTCTGACATATATTTATGGTTATTTCGCATCCACTTTTTGGGATTAAAAGGACCTGAACACATCTTCTACTGGCTGAACTCCAGTTCCAAAGCTAGCCATCACCTTAACTCAATGTGAACATTAAGACTTTCTTCCTTTTGATTCTTTTCTGAAAGTATCTATTTTAAACTCAAATTTGATATAGACTTGGACCACGTGGTATCTTCTTCTCAAGGCTGCACTCCATTAAAGGTAATTTAAGTGTTCACATTATTTTTTAATCAGCCTAATTTATCAACAACTTTACATTTTTCTCCAACTAAAGCATAAATTCTATGGCAAACTCTTTCTTCCTATTTATATAAACCTGGCTTTCAACTATTAAGAAACACAAATATAGCTGCACTTACCACTATGTTCCAATGTTAAGCCACAGAGATCTGGCATGATTCTCATGTCTTCTGGCAACACTGACATGGCCTCACTTAGCTTCTCCAGGATTTGTATAAAATAAAACTTCATATCAGCAAGTGCACCCTCCATAGTACCAAATCTACCTCAGGCTTCCAGGGCACCCAATTCCATTCTGCCTGGAACCTAAATCAGCCACCTGGGAACAAAGAAAGACCATAAGTCTGGCAGCAATGGGGGAAGAGAGAGTTTTCCAAATATTTTCACATCATAGCACACATAACATGGAATGTATAAGGCTGTTCTTGATTAAAGAAGACTGGCCACTGCTAGTGTGCTCCTCCTAGGCCTCACACAACAACCCCAAAGTCTAAGAGGATTAATGTCTTTTCACATATGTAAAATTCAGAGAACACTGTTTAAGAGGCTTGACAGCTAAGAACTTACATACCATCATCAATACTCAATGTTGCCTTAATGTAAACATATTTTTCTGACATCCAGTAAACCTAATCTTTAAAAAACTAAAAACAAAGATTCTTCCTTTCAGGAAAACACTTCTGCCTTGCTTTCTTTAGATTATGAGAGTAGGCATTGGAGAATTGAATTCTCACTGTCATTCACTTATTAATCTGAATTGCAAGCATAAAAACTCATGAAAGGACCAGGCATGGTGGCTTATACCTCTAATCCCAGCACTTTGGGAAGCCAAGGCAGGAGAATTGCTTCAGCCCAGAAGTTCAAGACCAACTTGGGCTATGTAGTGAGACACCTATCCTACAGAAATTTAAAAATTAGCCAAGTGTGGTGGTGCATGCTCATAGTTCCATAGTTCCAGCTATTCAGGGGGCTGAGGCAGGATTCCCGGAGACCAGAAGGTCAAGTCTGCAGTGAGCCATGATCACACCACTGCACTCTAGTCTGGGTGACAGAGCAAGACCCTGCCAAAAAAAAAAAAAAAAACACCTCAGGAAGAATTCTGGTACTTTGAGATTGGAAAAGAATTTGAAAAACATTCAACATTTCTTCATAAGAAATGTCTCAACAAATTGGTTATAAGGAATGTATGACAACACAATAAAGACCATGTATGACAACCCCACAGCTGAGACCATCAATTTGAAAGTTTTCCCTCTCAGATCAGAAACAAAGCAAAGATGCCCACTCTCACCACTTCTATTCAACCTAGTACTGGAAGTTATAGCCATGGCAATTAGGCAAGAGAAAGAAATTAAAAGCATACAAATCGGAATGAACAAAAGAGAGAGAGAAAGAAAGAGAGAGAGAAAGGGAGGGAGGGAGGAAGGAAAGAAATGGTCTTTGTATACTGATTACCTATTGTTATATATAGAAACCCCAAATATTACACCAAAAACTGTTAAAACTAATGAACTAGTTCAGGATATAAATCAACATAAAAAAATCAGTACTGTTTTTGCAGTATTGTAAAGACTATTGACATTATGAAGAAACTGCATCAACTAACAGGCAAAATAACCAGCTAGCATCATAATGACATGATCAAATTCACACATAACAATATTAACCTTAAATATAAATGGGCTAAATGCTCCAATTAAAAGACACATACTGATAAATTGGATAAAGAGTCAAGACCCATCAGTGTGCTGTATTCAGGAGACCCATCTCATGTGCAAAGACACACACAGGCTCAAAATAAAGGGATGGAGGAATATTTACCAAGCAAATGGAAAGCCAAAAAAAAAAAAAGCAGCAGTAGCAATCCTAGTCTCTGATAAAACAGACTTTAAATCAAAAAAGACAAAGAAGGGAATTACATAACGGTAAAGGGATCAGTGCAACGAGAAGAGCTAACTATCCTAAATATATACGCACCCAATACAAGTGCACCCAGTTTCATAAAGCAAGTTCTTAGAGACCTACAAAGAGACTCAGACTCCTGCACAATAATAGTGGGAGACTTTAACACCCCACTGTCAATATTAGACAGATCAGTGAGACAGAAAATTAATAAGGATATTCAGAACTTGAACTCAGCTCTGGACCAAGCAGACCTAATAGACATCTACAGAACTCTTCACCCCTAATCAGCAGAATATGCATTCTTCTCAGAACCACATTACACTTAATCTAAAATTGGCCACATAATTGGGAGTAAGACACTCCTCAGCAAATGCAAAAGAGAAATCATACAAAACAGTCTCTCAGACCACAGTGCAATCAAATTAGAACTCAAGATTAAGAAACTCACTCAAAACTACACAACTACATGGAAACTGAACAACCTGCTCCTGAATGACTACTGGGTAAATAACAAAATTAAGGCAGAAATAAAGAAGTTCTTTGAAACCAATGAGAACAAAGACACAATGTACTAGAATCTCTGGGACACAGCTAGAGCAGTGTTTAGAGGAAAATTTATAGCACTGAATGCCAACATCAGAAAGAGGAAAAGATCTAAAACTGACACCTTAACATCACAATTAGAAGAACTAGAGAAGCAAGAGCAAACAAATTCAAAAGCTAGCAGAAGACAAGAAATAACTAAAATCAGAGCAAAATTGAAGGAGATACAGACACAAAAAACCCTTCAAAAAGTCAATGAATCCATGAAATGCTTTATGAAAAGGGAGAAAAGAGAGAAGAATCAGACACAACAAAAAACGATAAAGAGATATCACCACTGATCTCACAGAAATACAAACTACCATCAGAGAATATTATAAACACCACTACGCAAATAAACCAGAAAATCTAGAAGAAATTGATAAACTTCTGGACACATACACCCTCCCAAGACTAAACCAGGAAGAAGTTGAATCTCTGAATAGACCAATAACAGGCTCTGAAATTGAGGCAATAATTAGCAGCTTACCAACCAAAAAAATTCCAGGACCACACAGATTCACAGCCAAATTCTACCAGAGGTACTAAGATGACCTGGTATCATTCCTTCTGAAACTATTCCAAACTATAGAAAAAGAGGGACTCCTCCCTAACTCATTTTATGAAGTCAGCATCATCTTGATACCAAAACAGGGCAGAGACACAACAACAACAAAAAAGAAAATTTCAGGCCAATATCCCTGATGGACATTGATGTGAAAATCTTCAATAAAATACTAGCAAACAATTCAACAGCACATCAAAAAGCTTATTCACCATGAGCTAGTCAGCTTCATCCCTGGGATGTAAGGCTGGTTCAACATACACAAATCAATAAACGTAATCCATCAGATAAACAGAACCAACGACAAAAACCACATGATTATCTCAATAAATGCAGAAAAGGCCTTCAATAAAATTGAACACCCCTTCATGCTACAAACACTCAATAAACTAGGTATTGATGGAACATATTTCAAAATAATAAGAGCTGTTTATGACAAACCCACAGCCAGTATCATTCTGAATAGGCAAGAGCTGGAAGCATTTTCTTGGAAAACCAGCACAAGACAAAGATGCCCTTTCTCACCACGCCTACTCAACATAGTATTGGAAGTTCTGGCCAGGACAATCAAGCAAGAGAAAGAAATAAGGGGTATTCAGATAGGAAGAAAGGATGTCAAATTGTCTCTGTTTGCAGGTGACATGATTACATATTTAGAAAACCCCATCGTCTCAGCCCAAAATCTCCTTAAGCTGATAAGCAACTTCAGCAAACTCTCAGGATACAAAATCAACATGCAAAAATCACAAGCATTCTTATACACCAGTAATAGACAAACAAATAGCCAAATCATGAGTGAACTCTCATTCACAATTGCTACAAAGAGAATAAAATACCTAGGAGTACAATTTACAAGGGATGTGAAGGACCTCTTCAAGGAGAACTACAAACCACTGCTCAAGGAAATGAGAGAAGACACAAACAAATGGAAAAACATTCCATGTTCATGGATAGGAAGAATCAATATCGTGAAAATGGCCATACTGCCCAAAGGAATTTATAGATTCAATGCTATCCCAATCAAGCTACCATTAACTTTCTTCGCAGAATTAGAAAAACTACTTTAAATTTCACATGGCACCAAAAAAGAGCCTGTATAGCCAACACAATTCTAAGCAAAAAGAACAAAGCTGGAGGCATCACGCTATCTGACTTCAAACTATACTACAAGGCTACAGTAACCAAAACAGCATGGTACTGGTACCAAAACAAATATATAGAGCAATGGAACAGAAGAGAGGCCTCAGAAATAACACCACACATCTGCAACCATCTGATTTTGACAAACCTCACAAAAACAAGCAATGGGGAAAGGATTCCCTATTCAATAAATGGTGTTGGGAAAACTGGCTAGCCATATGCAGAAAACAGAAACTGGACCCTTCCTTACGCCTTATACAAAAATTATCTCAAGATGGATTAAAGACTTAAATGTAAGACCTAAAACCATAAAAATCCTACAAGAAAACTGGGAAATACCATTCAGGACATAGGCATGGGCAAAGACTTCATGTGTAAAACACCAAAAGCAAAGGCAACAAAAGCCAAAATCAACAAATGGGATCTAATTAAACTAAAGAACATCTGCATAGCAAAAGAAACTATCATCAGAATGAACAAGCAACCTAAAGAATGGGAGAAAATTTTTGCAATCTATCCATCTGACAAAGGGCTAATATCCAGAATCTACAAGTATCTTAAATTTACAAGAAAAAAATCAAACAACCCTATCAAAAAGTGGGCAAAGGATATAAACAGACACTTCTCAAAAGAAGACATTTATGTGCCCAACAAACATATGAAAAAAAGTTCATTATCACTGGTCATTAGAGAAATGCAAATCAAAACCATAATGAGATACCATCTCACACCAGTTAGAATGGTGATCATTAAAAAGTCAGGAAACAACAGATGCTGGAGAAGATGTGGAGAAATAGGAACACTTTTACGATGTTGGTGGGAGTGTAAATTAGTTCAACCATTGTAGAAGACAGTGTGGCGATTCCTCAAGGATCTAGAACCAGAAATACCATTTGACCCAGCAATCCCATTACTGGGTATATACCTAAAGGATTATAAATCATGCTATCCCATTACTGGGTATATACCCAAAGGATTATAAATCATGCTACTATAAAGACACATGCACACGTTTGTCTATTGCAGCACTGTTCACAATAGCAAAGACTTGGAACCAACCCAAATGCCCAACAATGATAAACTGGATAAAGAAAATGTGGTACATAAGCACCATGGAATACTATGCACCCATAAAAAATGATGAGTTCATGTCCTTTGCAGGGACATGGATGAAGCTGGAAACCATCATTCTCAGCAAACTAACGCAGGAACGGAAAATCAAACACCGCATGTTCTCACTTATAAGTTGGAGTTGAATAATGAGAACACATGGACACAGGGAGGAGAACATCACACACTGGGGCTTGTCAGTGGGTGGGAGGCTAGGAGAGGGCTAGCATTAGGAGAGACACCTAATGTAGATGATGGGTTGATCAGTGCAACAAACCACCAAGGCACATTTATACCTGTGTAACAAACCTGCATGTTCTGCACGTGTATCCTAGAACTTAATTTATATTTTTTTAAAAAAGTAGTGTTACACTAACAACAAACTATTTTTAAAAGAATCAATAAAACAATCCTATTTTCAAAACATGAAAATGCTCAGGCATAAATTAAACCAAAGAGGTGAAAGATATGTATAGTGAAATCTGTAAGGCATTGGTAAAAGAAATTGAAGACGATAAATGAAAAAATTCCTTGTTCATGGATTGGAAGAACTAAAACTGCTAAAATGTTCATACTACCCAAAATAATCAATAAATTCAATACAGTTCTTATCAAAATTCCAATGACATTTTTCGTAGAAATAGAGAAACAATCTTAAAATTTATGTGGAATCACAAAAGACTCTAAACAGACAAAGCAATCTTGAGCAAGAAGAACAAAGCTGAAGGCATTATAGTACTTAATTTGAAAATATACTACAAAGCTATGGTAATAAAAACAGTATGGTACTGGCATAAAAAGAGACACATAGACCAATACAATAGAATAAGGAACCTAGAAATAAATCCAAGTATTTACAGCCAACTGATTTTCAACAAAAGTGCCAAAAACACATAATGAGAAAAGAACAGTCTCTTTAATGAATGGTGTTTGGAAAACTGGATGTCCACCTGCAGAAGAATGAAATTAGACCCTCATCTCACACCACCTACGAAACTCAACTCAAAATTAACTAAAAGGTTAGACATAATGCCATAAACTTTAAAACTACAAGAAGAAAACATAGGGGAAAACCTCCATGACATTGGCCTGAGCAATGGTTTTTTTAGGTGATCCTCAAAGCACACGCAACAAAAATAAAGATAGACAAATAGAATTACATCAAACTAAAAAGCTTCTGCACAGAAAAGGAAACAATCAACAGAGTGAATAGACAACCCAAAGAAATATTAGTAGAAAATATTTGCAAACCATACATCTGATGTGTTTAATATGCAAAATAAATAAGGAACTCAAACAACTCAGTAGTAAGAAAACTAACAGCCCAATGAAAAATTGGACAAATGATTGAATAGACATTTCTCAAAGACATGGCCAGGTATATAAAAAATGCTCAACATCACCAATCATTAGAAAAATGCAAATTAAAACCACAGTGAGATCACCTCACACATGTTAGAATGGCTATTATCAAAAAAAATAAAAGATAATGTTGGAGAGGATGCAGAGAAAGAAAACCCTTGCACTCTATTGGTGGAAATATAAATTAGTATAGCCTTTATGGAAAATAGTAAGGGGGTTCCTCAAAAAATTAAAAATAGAAATATCATATGATCCAGGAATCCCAGTTCTGGATATATACCCAAAGAAAGCCTTATTTGAAAAGATATCTCACTCCCATGTTCATTGCAGCATTATACACAATAGCAAAAATATACACAATAGCAAAAATATACACAATAGCAAAAATCAACCTAAGTGTCCATCAACAAAAAATGGATAAAGAAGATGTGGTTTATATACACTATAGAATACTATTCAGTAATTTTAAAAAAGAAAGAAAGCTTGCCATTAATTATAACATGTATTTCCTGGAGGACATTAAGTGAAATAAGTGAGACACAGAGAAACAAATGGAATCTAAAACAGTTAAACTGACAGAAACGGAGTAAGATGGTGCTTACCAGAGGCTGGGGGGTGGGGAATACAGACAGATCTTAGTGAAAGGATACAAAATTTCAGTTAGGAGGAATAAATTCAAGTGATCTATTGTACATCATGATGGCCATACTTAATAACAATATATTGTATTCTTAAAAATTGCCAAAATATTATATTTTAAATATTCTCATCACAAAAAAGGAGGTAATAAATATGTTAAATAGCTTAACTTAGCCATTCCACAATGTATTCATATATCAAAACACCATGATTGTATACTGTAAAGAAATACAATTTTTATTTGTCAATGGAAAAAATAATTGTTTCTTTTTTTTTTATTATACTTTAAGTTTTAGGGTACATGTGCACATTGTGCAGGTTAGTTACATATGTATACATGTGCCATAAAATAATTGTGTTTCTGTACAGTAACACTGAATTATCTGGAAAAACAAATGCCATTTACAGTATCATCAAAATGAATAAAATATTTAGAAATAAATTTAACCCTGGAAGTGATTAATCTTTACACTTAAAACTATAAAATATTGATGAAATAAATTGAAGAAAATACAAATAAATGTTTAAAATATTTCATGCTCATGGAATAGAAGAATTAATACTACTAAAATGTCCATAATACCCAAAGTAATTGACAGATTCAATGCAATTCTTATCAAAACTCTAATGATATTTTTCACAGCATTGGAGGAAAAATTCTAAAATATGTATGGAACCACAAAAAAACATAAATAGCCAAAACAACTTGAACAACAACAACAGAAAAGCTGAGGCATCACATTTCCTGACTTGAAACCATATTACAGAACCATAAGAATCAAAACTGTATGATACTGGCATAAAAGCAGACACACAAACCAATGGAACAGAATCAAGTCCCCAAAAATAAATCCTCACATATATGGTCAACTAACTAATATTTGACAAATGTGTCAAGAATATACAGGAGAAAGGATACTTGATTCAATAAATGGTGCTGGGAAAACTTAGTATCTATATGCAAAATAATAAAATTGAACCATTATCTTACGTAACTCACAAATCTGATAAGGAGTTAATATCCAAAAAATACAAGGAATTCAAACAACTCCATAGCAAAAATAATACAATAAATTGATTTTTAAACGGCCAAAGGACCTGAGCTGACATTTCTCAATAGAAGACATACATATGGCCAACAGATACGTGAAATAATGATAATGCTCAACAGCACTATTCATGAGAGAAATGAAAATTAAAACCCCAATGAGATCAGCCAACATGTTAGGATGGCTATTATCGAGACGAGATAACAAGTATTGGCAAGGATTCAGAAAGAAAGGGAATCCTTATGCACTACTGGTGGGAATGTAAATTGGAACAGCCATTTTAGAAAACAGTATGGAGGTTCCTCAAAAATCAAAACTAGAGCTACCATCTTATCCAGCAATCCCACTGCTGGGTATATACCCAAAGGAAACGAAAATAGTATGTCAAAGAGATATATGCACTCTTGTGTTCAATGTAGCATCATTCACATTAGCCAACACTTGGAAACAAACCAAGCATCCATCAAAAAGAAGGAAATTCTGCCACTTGCAACAACATGGATCAACCTTGTTGGCATTATGCTTAGTAAAATACATGAATCAGAGAAAGACAAATACGATATGAACTCACTTATACATGAAATCTTAAAAAGCTGAATTCACAGAAACAGAGAATAGAATTAGAATGGTGGTTTCCAAAAGCTGGGGGAGGGGAAAATAGGGAGATGTTGGTCAGAAGGTACAAGCTTTCAGTTATAAGGCGAACAAGTTCTGGGGATTTAATATGCAGCATGGTGAATATAGTTAACAATACAGTATTTAATATTTGAAATTTGTTAAGAGAGTAGATCTTAAATATTCTCACCACAAAACAAGAAAAAATATGTCAGCTGATGGATAGGTTAATTAGCTGGTTTGTGGTAATCACTTCACAATATATACATATGTCAAAACATCATACACATAGTAAGTGTATGCAATTTTTACTTGTTAATTATACCTTCACAAAGCTGCAGTGAAAAGAACAGAGGTAAAACTATATTATTTTCATAAATTGCATAAGTGTATATTTTATGATTACTATGAAAAAGGGGTTTTTTAAATTTCTATTTTTAGTTTAGATTCAGGGGGATACATGGGCAGGTTTATTACAAGGGTATATTGTGTGATGCTGAGGTTTGGGCTTATATTAATCCTGTCACCCAGACAGTGAATATAGTATACAATAGGAAATTTTTCAGTCCTTGCTCCTCTCCTCCTCTCCTTCCTTTTGGAATCCCTAGTGTCTACTGTTTCCATCTTTATGTCTGTATGTACCCAGGATTTATCTCCTTAAATTTTAAATCAAGTGAGAAGATGTGGTGTTCGGTTTTCTATTTCTGCATTAATTTGCTAAGGATAATGGCCTCCAGCTGCATCCATATTGCTTCAAAGGACATTATTTCGTTCTCTTTTATGGCTGTGTAGCATTCCATGTTGTATATGTACCACATTTTCTTTATCCAATCCACCATTAATGGGCACCTAGCTTGATTCCATGTCTTTGCAATTGTGAATAGTGCTGCAATGAACATGTGAATGCATGTGTCTTTTGGGTAGAACAATTTATTTGGGTGGGAGGCACATACCCAGTGATGGAATTGCTAGGTTGAATGGTAATTCTATTTTCAGTTCTTTGAGAAATTCCCAAACTACTTTCCATAGTGGCTGAACTAATCTACATTCCCACCAGCAGTATAAAAGTGTTCCATTTTCTCTGCAGCCTCATCAATATCTGTCATTATTTTACTTTTTAGTAATAGCCATTCAGACTAGTGCAAGATGGTATCTCATTGTGGTTTTGAGTGGCATTTCTCTAATGATTAGTGTTCGAGCATTTTTTATATGTTTGTTAGCTGCTTTTATGTCTTCTTTTGAGAATTGTCCATTCATGTTCTTTGCCCATTCTTTAATGGGGTTATTTGTTTTTCTCTTGTTGATTTGTTTAGGTTCCTTATAGATTCTGGATATTAGTCCTTTGTCAGATGCATAGTTTGCAAATATTTTCTCCCATTCTGTAAGATGTCTGTTTATTCTGTTGATAGGTACTTTTGCTGTGCAGAAGCTCTTTGGTTTAATTAAGTCCCATTTGTCAATTTTTTGTGTGTTGCAATTGCTTTTGAGGACTTGGTCATAAGTTCTTTGCCAAGGCCAATGTCCAAAAGGGTATTTCTGAGTTTTTTCCCCAGGATTTTTATAGTTTGGGGCTTTACATTTAAGTCTTTAATCTTTCTTGAATTAATTTTTGTATATGGTGCTTGGTAAGGGTTAAGTTTCATCCTTCTGAATATAGTTAGCCAGTTTTCCTAGGACCATTTATGGAATAGGGAGTCCTTTCTGCATTACTTATTTTTGTCGACTTTGTTCAAGATCAGTTGGTTGTAGGTATGCTGCTTTATTTCTGGGTTCTTTATTCTGTTCCATTGGTCTAGGTGCCTATTTTTGTGCCAGTACCTTGCTGTTTTGATTACTGTAGACTTGTAGCATAGTTTGAAGTCCAGTAATGTGATGCTTCCAGTTTTGCTCTTTTTGCTTAGGATTGTTATGGCTATTTGGGCTCTTTTTTGGTTCCGTGTAATTTTAGAATCATTTTTTCTAGTTCTGTGTAAAATGACGTTGGTAATTTAATAGGAATAGTGTTGAATCTGTAGATTGCTTTAGGCGGTAAAATTTAGACATTTTGTTTATGTTGTTGATTCTTCCAATCCATAAGCATGGAAGGTTTTTCCATTTGTTTGTGTCATCTATGATTTCTTTCAGCAGTGCTTTGTAGTTCTTTTTGTGGAAATCTTTCACTTCCTTGGTTAGAAGTATTCCTAGATTTTGTGTGTGTGTGTGTGTGTGTGTGTGTGTGTGTGTGTGTGTATTTTAAAGGGAATTACATTCTTGATTTGGCTCTCAGCTTGAACATTATTGGTGTATAGAAATGCTATTGATTTTTTACATTGATTTTGTATCTTCAAACTTGACTTAAGTTGTTTTATCAGGTCTAGAAGCCTTTTGGCAGAGTCTTTGGGGTTTTCTAGTCATAGAATCATAGCATAATTTGACTCCTCTTTTCCTATCTGGATGCTTTTTATTTCTCTCTCTTGCCTGATTTATTTGGCTAGGATTTTCAGTACTACGTTGAATAAGAGTAGTGTCAGAATTCTTGTCTTATTCCAGTTCTTAAAGGGAATGCTTCCAGCTTTTACCTATTTGGTATGATGTTGGCTGTGGGACTGAAATAAATGGCTTTTATTATTTTGAAGTATGTTCTTTGGATACCTAGTTTATTGAGGGTTTTAACATGAAGAGGTGTTGGATTTTATCAGAAGATTTTTCTGCAACTATTGAGAGAATCATATACGGTTTGGGGAAAATAAGGCTTAAAATATTTGATTTCATAAGTTCACGAGAAGGTAAATAGGTAGATTGTTTTGGTTTTGTATTTTTCCCCAAAATATACCAAAAATATTTTCCGATATTTCAAAAAATATCATTTACAATATTTCAGATATTTTGGTAAAATATATGGTCCACCAAAAAAAAAAAAATCAAACAGAGCCAAGTTTTGTGGCACACACCATTAATCCCAGTGACTGGAAAGACTGAAATGGGAGGATTGCTTGAGCCCAAGAGTTTGAGGCCAAAATGAGCCATGATCACACCACTATACTTCAGCCTGGGTGACAGAGTGAGACCCAAAAGCCAAAAGCCAAAAAAAAAAGAGTCAAAAAATAGAAATGTAAAGGATAACATAAAAGCAGTCTCAGAAATCTCTTTCTTCTGGGAACATACTCTTTATCCAGGCTATTTGATGATCAATATCATTAAACACGGATCTCCATCACCACATAAATGAGTTAGCATTATATTTCTTGAATATATCACCCTAGATAACCTTGACTGAATGGGATATTTAATATACACATCAGATATTGTTCTAACTGCTTTATAGTCAACAAACAATTATTGATCCCTGTTACATGCTAGACTCCCTTCCAGGCACCAAACAGCCACTGGAAGCTAATATAGCATCATCAAGGAATGCTGAGTGCAGCATTATCACAGGGCTATCAGGTCCTGACCAATTAGTCTACGGAAATATTGGAAGACAATGTCCGTAAAATTGCATAGTAAGAAATCAACATCTACACGGAACACTATTCCTAAAGAGAGAATGTTTCTATTTGGTGGGATGTTATATAAAAAAAGAAAGAAAAAAAAAGCAATGAACAAATAAAACACTATATATAATTTGGCTGATGAGCTTGTTTTCACAAATAAAAGTAAGCTCCATTAAGTCAGGGACTTTACTGTTTTGTCTATTTAGTTGTTTGCTATATTTCTATTGCTAATCAAATTTGTTGAATTGATTCATTCAGTTACGTGGCAAAAAAGGGGGATCAGATCCATATTCGTTTGGATCTTAGGTTTTAATTGTGGGGAGATACATTTAAAAAAAACAAAATTTAGAGTGATAAGTGCTACGAAAAACACATGGAAATGTGATAGAGATTAGCTGGGGAGGAGGGATTTTAATTTAGATTAAGTAGTCAAGGAAGATCTCGTTGAATAGATTATATCTGAAAAACGATTACAAACAAGGAGTTCAATTTGGGGACAGAATCTGCCAGGCCAATGAAATTCAATGCAAAGACACTTTAACACCTGCAACCCTGGAATGACAAAGGCATGAGACGAATGGGAGAAGGAGGGAGGGATGAAAAGGAGCCAGGCAAGGTGCATCTGGTAGTTCTTGGTAAGGAGTCTGAATTTTATAGTTAAGTGCATAGGAAGTCTAAAAAGATTTCAAATTGGCAAATGGAAATACTTGATTTGTGGTTTTGGTTTTCTTGGGTTTTGTTTTTTGTTTTTTCGAGACACAGTCTCGCTCTGTCGCCCAGGCTGGAGTGCAATGGTGCGATCTCGGCTCACAGCAACCTCTGTCTCCCGGGTTCAAGCGATTCTCCTGTCTCAGCCTCCAGAGTAGCTGGGATTCCAGGCATGCGCCACCATACCCGGCTAATTTTGTATTGTTGTATTGTTGATTTTGTATTGTTAGACGGGGTTTCTCCATGTTTATCAGGCTGGTCTCGAACTCCTGACCTCAGGTGATCTGCCCGCCTCGGCCTCCCAAAGTGCTGGGATTACAGGCGTGAGCCACCGCGCCCAGCCAACGTGTGGTTTTTTTAAAGAACGCTTTTGGCCGCCATATGGAGAATAGATTGAAAGGGGAATGAATTAAAGCAGAGAAACAAGATAGTAATCCATTGGGTAATCCAGGAAAAATAGGGTGGCCCAGTTTGTTAGTCATTCTGGAAATGGAGAGAAGTCGAGCTTGGAATCATTCAGATTTTCAAGATGAGGGCAGGCTAGTAATTAAGGATAACTCCTTAATTACTGGTTTCTGGCCAGAAATAGGTACATGTTTATATCATTTACTACAATGAGGAAGACTGGAATGAGAGCAGATTCAGTGCAATCAAGAGATCTATTTTAGCTATGTTTAGACTCATAATTTTGTGCATGAAATTAGGCAGTTGGAACTACCTATTCCATGCTCAATGTAGAAGACTGGAAATAGACACTTGAAAGCCATCAATATGTAGATGGGATTCAAATCCTTAAAACTCTAAGATTCTATCTAGGGACACAGTATAAACAGAAAAGAATTGAGCCTTTGGCAAGGGCATAGGAATCTCAGGACACTGTATTTCTAAAATTTCTACATATGCCAGCCAATACAGTTACTCTGATATGCGGCCAGTTGTGGAAGCACTGCTAATAACTTCACTTTAAATGGTTTCCATAAGTTAAGGGCTAAAGTAAGCAAGGGAAAAAATTGTTAAATAAAAAGGAAACAGGAAAACATGTCTTGATTTATTCAAAGGGGTATGGAAAGGTCTTATATTAAAGTTTAAGGCAAGGGCATCTGCTTTACAAGCTGGGTATATCCATTTTTTGATAACAAATGAAAACCTTTTTAAAAATTAATTCAAAAATCCAAAGGATTTCTCTATAATTTCTCCAGAGTAACAAACCCATGGATTTTAATCACAGAATAAGGAGCAAGGGACTAGAAAAGTCACTGTGTAGGAATGTATTTAAACCAGAAACATGGGTGGGCATGACAATTTATATACATTTTTGTTTTTCAAATGAAAATTGAATATTTGCTATGGTTGAATTGAAATTGTGAAATTCAATTATAACTTTAAAGTGGTTTTTAAAAGAAAAAGGAGAACTGTAGAAAATTTGACTAAAGGGGAAGAGAAAAATACATAAGTGAAACTGAGATCTCCAGTCAAAGTGAACAGTTTCAAGTATTCAGATGTTTAGAATCTTGATAGACAAAAATGTACCATTAGTAGATGTTATGTTTCTTTTTATCATCATTATTATAGCATTTATAAAGAATACATACACATACATATGTATATACTATGTATATAGTATATATATTTCATATATGTGTGTATTATATATAAAATCCTAAAGGAAGTGCTTATAAGGAGAGTATTTTCCAGATGTTTTATCAAATATCAGCATAAACTTTCCCCAAATATTTCTGCAGCACACAGACACCCTGAACTGATTGAAATTGTAACAGTTAATACTTATTTGGATGCTGTGTGCCAACCAGTACTGTAGTATTTACATATGTTAAACTTATTGAATCCTTACATTCGCCCTTTAAATTATGTATTATAATATCCCCTATTATAGATAAGAAATCGGAGGCAATGAAGGTTAAGTAATTTTCCCAAGTTCACACATCTGGTAACTGTAGCCACCAGGATTTCAGCCCAGAAAGTCTGGCTCCACAATCTATCCATCTAACCATTACACTATACTATATCTCAAGTGTAAAATATATTGATTATCGTACAGAAGCAGATAGTTAAAATTATTTTATTGATCAGTAATGTCATCCACATTTGAACATGTATCATGAGGCAGCCAATTCGTGCTTATGTATTTTATTAAAACCAATTATTACTGATATGTAATTTTAATTTAAGGAAGCTGTTAAAACCTATGATTATAAGCCAACTCACAAAAATTTTCATAGTATATACTTACTCTAGAATTTAATGTGTAAATAGTGACCTCTGAGACAATAACAAAACTAATTGTCGTAGACAATGAAGTATTTGAATCATCCCTCATGGTCACCAAAACAACTGAGAAAAAATGTAAATCTTATGATTCTGGTCTTACTGTTTAGAGCTTTGGGGATTAAACATCTCTTTCAAATACAACTGTTCTGACCATGGGTATCAGAGATAACCACTAGAGGTACCTCATTTAAATGATATCTGCTCAGAGCAAGTTTAGTTCCACAATCAATATTTGTGCTTTGAATGGTAAGATTTTTCTGTAGCTAAGTATAATTGTAGTGTTGGAAATCTACATTATTTAAGAGTAAATTTTATATTATAATACATTCACAACCAAAAAAATATGAAAATACATTTTCTTATTTCTTTGTCCTATAGTTTTCCTTCATATTAAATAACTTTTACATCTACTAAACCTGCCCTAGTGAAATATTAGGGTATGGTCTAATTCTAGGCTGGCATTTTCTATGACACTGTACTCTAGTAAAGTTAATTGGATGCAGTCCCAATGGTTTAGATAATCTTTTTGATTATCTGAGTCTTCAGGTAATACTGGGAAATTTTGTTCAATTCTGATTCTGAATTATCCGGTTGCTTTTCCTAATGTTTCTCTATGGTCAAGACCTACTTGCAGGTTGATTTAAACTCAGAACAAGAAGTAAGAATTTGTGACAGGTTTCATCCTCTTACTTGAAGTCATATATTCGAGAAGGAGGAGTCCTGTTGAGAATCTCTACCCTAACACACTTTGGGAAAAGCAGAATTCTCCGTGGCACTGCAGGGAAATCATGAGAAATTTACAGCCCTGGAGAAAAAAATGCTTAACCGGGATCTATTTTCCATAGTGTGGATTCTACAAAAGTCGAGAAGTAGAATGGCAAAGGAACTCCCTCTGGATCACAGTAATGTTCATCCTTAATCTCTTGGAGAAACAGTATGCCTGGATTGGTAAAACAATTTGTAGAAAGTAGAAGAAAAAGAACTTAGATCTGTATGGGCTGGTTTTATTTCAGAAGTCTGAGAATAAATATTGATCCAGCAGAAACAAAAGCGAGAAAGATAGATTAAATTGAAAATGAAGAATTCAGATACTTGTTTTTAATTTTGTTTTGTTTTGTTTTTTAATGCCATTTGTGAAACTTGTCAGCAAAATATTTTATTCTTGAAGGTTGTGGAGCCATAAAGGACTCAGATTTTATGTATCCATTTCTAAATCTCATACTGTGCATGAAAATTTATTTGAAGATTTTTCTATGTCACTTTTTAATAGGCAGAAGGAGGATTTTTATTCTTTCCTGAGTTAATCTTTATGGACTGTAGTAATAATGAAATAGTTAAGAAATTAACAGCATAATATTGATTTTAATTTTAAAAGAATTTTCAGGTTTTTATATAATTTTAACTGAAGCCCTATTTTATTCAGAAGTTAGGCACAATTATACACATCAACGAGTCTGTTAAAATAAATAAGCATTAATTATTGATGCCCCTGCTCAGACATTATGGAACTTTAATGGGGTGTGACAGCTTGAAATATCTTTCAGAGAATTATTTTTCTTTCTATCCAATTTGATTAATGGCAAAACTCAGAATCAAATCATAATTTTTGAAAAGCTAATGCTAAAGAAATCACAAAATGATTTTCTCAAAACGGCTATTTCAACCACCATCTCCGGTTAGTCTCACAAATGTATCCACTTTTGAATCATGGCCACAGTTGGAAGTAATTTCTTAATAACATTCAAAAAAACATATTTGAAATGGCATAACAAACAAAAAAAGCACAACTTTTTGTACTACATCTATATAAAGAGAGAGAAGAAGCACCAGTTTGATATTTATCTGGGTTTTGTTTGTTTTTGAGACAGGATCTTGCTCCAGCACCCAGGGTGGAGTGCAGTGGTGCAATCATAGCTCACCGCAACCTCAAACTCCTGGGCTCAAGTGATCCTCCCGCCTCAGCCTCCTGAGTAGCTGGGACTATAGGAGTACGCCACCACACCTGGCTAATGGCTGTTATTTTTTAACCAAATGTTTTATATTAGCTTTTTGACCACTTTATTGAAGTATGACTGACATACAAAAGCAGTACAGATTTAATGTATACAACTTGATGAGTTTGAAGGTGAGTATATACCTGTGAAACCATCAACACAATCTATCCCATATATACATCCATCACCTCCAACAGTTTCCTCCCACCTTCTTTATTGTGTTGTGTATGTGTGTGCGTGTGATGAGAACACTTAACATAAGATCTACCCTCCTAGCAAAATTTTAAGTATACAATATAGTATTTCTTAAATGTAGTGTAAAGTGGCTGACAAGTTTTAAGGAGATGGATGACATGATTTCATCAAATGTTGTAACAATGTAAAGGCATAAGACTGGATGCAAGGACTGGATGCAAGACTATTGCCAGAATCCAGAAAAGAAATCATAGTGATTTGAATTAGGGTTGTGGTGGTAGGGATTTTTTAAAGTGATAGGATAATTAGCATATATATTTGCATCCAAATTTACCAGTTTTGGTGATAAGGCGTTAAGAATGAGAGAGACAAGGCGTCCAAGGGTAAACACCAGATGTCCTACATAACAAACTAGGAGATCAAAGGTGCTTAGTCACTAAGATATGAAAAAAGAAGAACAATCTTTCCTCACTCTTTTTTAAGGTTTATTTTTAATTAAGCAACAATTGTATATGTTTATGGGGTGCAATATAATGTTTTAATATATGTTTATAATGTGTAATGATTAAATCAGGCTAATTAACAAACCCATCACCTAACATACTTATTTTTTGTGGTGAAAACACTTAAAATCTACTCTTAGTAATTTTGAAATAAACAATGCATTATTGTTTATTGTAGTCACCATTCTGTGAGATCACTAAAACTGGTTCCTTTTTTCTAACTGAAACTTAGTACCCTTGATCAACATCTCCCCTTTTCCCATCCATCTCCTGCCCCCACTCTCTACCTCTATGAGTTCAACTTTTTTGGATTCCATATATAAATGAAATCATGCAATATTTGTCTTTCAGCTTACTTCAGTTAGCATGATGTCCCCAGGTTCATCCTCCAGGTTATCACATCTTTTCCTCATCCTACCATTAGCCCAGTACTTAAATTTTATAGGTGAATTTACTGATCAAATAAAAGAATATGTTCATTTTATCAAGCTAACTAGCTTATAAAGAATCATAGGGTCATTTTAGAACCAGCATCTATTTCAAACTTTCAAATCTACACGTTAGATAATTCAGACCTCAAGTTTAAAAGTGAACTCCCCAAGGTCACCTGGATTTTTTTTAAAAAATCTAATATTAAACTCATTGCCATAAAAGAATCTATGACAAATAGCAGATTTCTTGGCTGTAATTTTTACTTTTATCCATTAAATTTTTTCAATTAGTAACATAAATTATCTCTCTTTGTTTAGTTCTAATTTTATCAAATTATTTAGATAGTTCATGTTGACAAATTGTTTCTTCCTCTTTTCCTTTTCTTCTTCCTCTCCCTCCTCCTTCTCCTCCTCTACCTCTTCTTCCTTCTTCTTCCTTCTCCTTATCCTTGTATCATCATCTACCTCCTCCTCCTCCTTTTCTCACTCTAGGATTTAGACATTGAAGGACTATGGACCAAAGCAATTATAGTTCTTTACATGGTTTTATTCTGCTTGGCTTCTCTAACCATCCAAAAATGGAGATGATCCTGTCAGGAGTTGTCGCCATCTTCTACTTAATTACATTGGTGGGTAACACAGCCATCATTCTTGCATCTCTCCTGGATTCCCAGCTTCATACACCAATGTACTTTTTCCTCAGAAATTTATCTTTCCTAGATCTATGTTTCACAACCAGCATCATCCCTCAGATGCTGGTCAACTTGTGGGGACCTGATAAGACCATCAGCTATGTGGGTTGTATCATCCAACTCTATGTTTACATGTGGTTGGGCTCAGTTGAGTGCCTTCTCCTGGCTGTTATGTCCTATGATCGTTTTACAGCTATATGTAAGCCCTTGCATTATTTTGTAGTCATGAACCCACATCTATGTCTAAAGATGATTATCATGATCTGGAGTATTAGTTTGGCCAATTCTGTAGTATTATGTACACTCACTCTGAATTTGCCCACATGTGGAAACAACATTCTGGATCATTTCTTGTGTGAGTTGCCAGCTCTGGTCAAGATAGCTTGTGTAGACACCACAACAGTTGAAATGTCTGTTTTCGCTTTAGGCATTATAATTGTCCTCACACCTCTCATCCTTATTCTTATATCCTATGGCTACATTGCCAAAGCTGTGCTGAGAACGAAGTCAAAAGCAAGCCAGCGAAAAGCAATGAATACCTGTGGATCTCATCTTACTGTAGTGTCTATGTTCTATGGAACTATTATCTACATGTACCTGCAACCAGGTAACAGGGCTTCCAAAGACCAGGGCAAGTTCCTCACCCTCTTTTACACCGTCATCACTCCAAGTCTCAACCCGCTCATTTACACCTTAAGAAATAAGGACATGAAGGATGCCCTGAAGAAACTGATGAGATTTCACCACAAATCTACAAAAATAAAGAGGAATTGCAAGTCATAGATAAAGACTAGAGTGAATAAGGCAATTAAATATGTTTTCTAATTTTCTTTAATTTTTACAAATGCAAGTAATTCCTAGGTCATGGAGATCCATAAATATAATTATTATATACAAACATTTTGTAGATGCAAACAAAATTACAACCATTCTACTTAGCTCCTTTATGTCCCTGATCATTGGTATATCATCAGAGAAAACAGATCATTAGAAATTTTATTTTTGCTTGAAATAAAACACAAATGGGATGTAAACATAAATTTGAATGCATTTAATTTATTCTAAAACCACATAGAAACTGTTTTGGTTATCTAGTTTTGTATTTTCAATGTTAATCCTTGCCTCTTCCAAAGTATAGACCTGAGCAAATGGTTTCATATACATTATGGTGTGTATATTAAATAATATACCCATAATGTTCATTCTATTGGAGCTTGAGAAAAAATATACATATACACAATAATGATTTTGTACACCCAATCTTTTGTAATGCCACCCAAATATTTATTTGTGTTTGATGCAAACAGTGCAGTTTATAAGACAGTAATTGTCATAAGCCCCATTTAAAACAATTCACTCTTTTTTCAATGAAATTTCAAATCGATATCTTGAGTAAAGGGTCTCTGCTATTTAAGTCTATTACTACTCTATCGTAATATAAAGCCACAAATTAAAGGGTTTTAAAGGTAATGACACAGTCTTATCAATTTCTCTTTCATTCGTTAAATGTTTATTCCATGATTGTCTCAACTTAATGGAAAGATAATATGACTAGTTTGAAACCAGTTAGGCTTTTGACATACATCTGTGGAACTGGCGGATTTACGTGAATTTTTAGAAATGTGGTAATGTTTATATGTAGTGGAATTGCATAACAGAATAAATCTTTTTATTTCTATTTATCATAATATAATATTTAGCTTTTATGGGACAATGTGATTACTTTTTAATTAAACTTTTATTTTTGCCATGATCTGATACCTTTCTCTAAAAGTGCCCATTATTTAATAATAGTAGCCAATCTAGATAGATCTAGAAAGACACACTGCTAGAATCTAAAAATATATATTTTCTCTTCCATCATGTCATCTTTAATGATGAGCAGCACACCACTAGCATTTTGAGTTGTCCCTTTCTTTGGTGTACCACTGGTTTTCACAATGTGGATAATATGTTACAGTAAGATCAGGAGAGATGGTAATTATGCCTTTCTTTTGTGAAGGAGGAGAAGGGATCTTTGAAAGTGAAGGCTGGAAAGAGAACCTGTCTAACTCCTCAACCTGGCATTTCCTCAAGAAAATGTTAGCGAAGAAAACAAAGGAACAAGGAGGATCTGGAAGTTATTTCCTTAAAACTAACTTTATAACCCTACAAAAGTCTCTGCATCCCAGAGTGTGCCCCCCCGTTGAAGCCCATTGTCTTAGACTATGGTTCTCTTAACAAGCCATACAAATCTCTATGAAGGTTAGAATTGCATTGTTTTGTAAATATTATTTATAGAACTGATAAGCCTCTAGCCAATGTAATTATAAGTTTCTTGAAAGCATAATTTTGTATAGTTCTTTCTCGATTCACCATCATATAATAGGGTTCCATGACTCTTAGTAGGCATTGAATATTTTTAACGATTTGGATGAATTTTTCAGTGTTCATGCAAATGTTTGTAAACAGAGCAAAAATCATCTTGTTATCATTTTTAACTAAAAAAAACATACACAAATATGAGCTAAGCAGAATATCCCAAGCCTTCAAAAACATGTCCTAGAAAATTTCGGAAATGTCTTACCTTGACCTGCATCATAATTATGCTTAATTACTGTTGTGGAGCACCAGTCTCAACGGGCTTAACAATATCCTGAAACTAAGTCAGCTCTCTTAGATTTTATACCCATCACATTTATCTTTTTCTAAGGTTAGCCCTTGGCCAGGGCAGGAAAATGTTTCTGCCACTCACAAAACACTCAGTAAATAGGTAATTTTCAAAACCACATATGCCTAGTGTTGGAAAAATGCAATATAATACAATCTAGTTTATTGCCTATTTTCCTTTCATATGGACATCTCCAGATTCTTCCACAAGAAGTTCAACTCTGATTGGTACCAATTAACCACAACATGGTAGATGTTGACTAGTTCAGACAAGGAAATTCATAATGATTTATGATTAAAGATAAAAGCAACCCTTCTGAGTCAACCATCATAACTTGAGGAGTGGTGGACTAAGAAAACCATAGTAGAAAATGCACATAATGACTCCCCTCAGTGCAAGTAAATAGCTAATTCTTTCAATATTTCTCTTCTTTAGAAGACTATAATCTAAAAAATACATTATTCAAATTCAGAGAATCACGAATATCTAGAGAAAATGAAATGCCATTTTTACTGTATCTGTTTATATTCATAACAATTATTAATTTTCTCTCATTTCTTAAACAAAAACTTATAAATGGATTCAAGCAGAAGATGCTATGATACTCAATTGTCATATAGTGATGAATTTTGAAGTACAGGAACCTCTAGAGGTCAAATACATATATATGCACTTATTATCCAATTCTAATCCCATTATTTTAATTGATGTGTTTGGGTATCTTTGCAAGTACATACATTTACCTACTTTACAATGAATATTTATATCTTAAATAAATTTACTGACATGTATTATTGAAGTATGTTGCATAAAAATGATATGGCATATCAAATTTTCAAACATGCTGTAAAAATTAAGCTAATTATTAATTGGTAACATTTTTCAAGCAATACCTGGGTATAGATGCTGATAATTTATAAGTCTAAATATGTACCCAACTTACTGAAGTACATTGATTCATTTTATCACTTTTATAGATATCAGTTCATCCAGGTCTCTGGCATTTCTGATATTGGTTTTTGTATTAATACATAAGTTAATTTTTTTTTTGAGATGGAGTCTGTCTCTGTCGCCCAGGCTGGAGTGCAGTGGCACAATCTCAGCTCACTGCAACCTCCACCTCCCGGGTTCATGCCATCCTCCTGCCTCAGCCTCCCGAGTAGCTGGGACTACAGGCGTGTGCCACCACATCCGGCTAACTTTTGTATTTTTAGTAGAGACAGGGTTTCACCATATTGGCCAGGCTGGTCTCGAACTCCTGACCTCAGGTAATCCACCCACCTCGGCCTCCCAAAGTGCTGGGATTACAGGCGTGAGCCACCGTGCCCAACCTGCATAAGTTAAATTTTAAAATTCTTTCTACTTTCTGAAGAAATTCTGACACTCTCCATTGTATTTCTGAAAATTATTTTCTATGGGAGAAGGATTCTATTATTTTTGAGGATTTTTGTTTAAAATACTGCTCCTGATAAATTTTTAACCTCCTCTCACAGTTGAGTCCCTGTGGCCACTGTCCTTACCAATTTCTACTGTACGAAACAGCTTCTTCTCCACTTAAAGACTATTTCTTGTCCTCTTGCCAGTGAACCAAGCCTATTTTCTTTTATTCTCTAAAGTACCACTAACAAGTGGGGAATGCAGTTAGTGGGATTTTCATAAAGAACTGGGAATAATAAAGGAGGATTATACTGCAGGATAAAAAGGAAAACATTGCCTAATGAATATTTGACTTCTTAAAATTCCTTAGCAATCCCTACCACAGAGCTTTGCTCTCTGGATGTCTGCTTTTTTAGGTCCCCCTTGCTCCATGTTTTGGAAGATCTTATTTACTTTCGGTCCCAACTTCTATTCCAATCTGTCTTTGTCTCTGACCTAGGACCTCCAATTCTTTCAACTGTAGTGTCTGTGAAGGAATAATGTCACTATCACTTAGAGAGAAATATTTGTCTGGCTCTATCTTCTATAAACACTAGAATAAGGGGTAAAGATACACTCACCTTGCATTAGAAAATAGAATTTGTTGTTTTAAGTAAAAGAACACCTTTTCTTCTGCTGCTGCTGCTCCATTCCTCAGAACACAGATGCAATTAAAACAATTCCAATCTTCTATTTTTCCCCATTACATCCCTTAACTAAAGAGTATACAATTTTGATCCATGTGATTATAAGGAGCACATATTTGGTATTATTACTAAGAAGCTTTCTGTATTAATAATGCATATTTTTAGCTCACACTTTTACAATTTAATTTATACAAACCTTTCTACAATTCAGTGATTTCTCTTTATATTGATGTCTTGAATAGAACTGACCAAGTTTATGTTTCAATGAATAAAATTTTGAAATTGAAAAATAATACACTTTTTGAAACTATCTAGGTGGAGAAGTAACATGAAAAGGATTTTTTAAAAAGAAGCTACTTCCATGTCCTGAAAACCTGGAGTAATATTTAATGTAGAGTAATTGTGTAGAAAATTTTCTAGTACCAATAAGTACCCATTTATGAATATGTGGGTCCATTCCCAACACTGGAGCAATTCCAGTACCTGTTTTCACTAATTGTACTCCCAAATTCCAAATCACTGTGTAGAAATTAATTCTACTAGGTAATTAACTCCAGGTCAATTTATTCTCTTTAAAATCAGTTGGATGGAAATGTTCCTTGGTAGTTCTTTTTATTTATGTTTTCTTACCAATCTCATTATTCTTCATAGACAAGTTTCTTCAGAGAAACACTTTGTCATGGTAACTGTAGTATACTTTAAAACACTTTGTCAGGCTATTGATATAAGTGCATTTATTCATTCAAATATTACATTCTATGGGCCGGGCACAGAGGCTCACGCCTGTAATCCCAGCTCTTTGGGAGGCCGAGGCGGTGGATCACGAGGTCAGGAGATCGAGACCATCACAGCTAACATGATGAAACCCCGTCTCTACCAAAAATACAAAAAATTAGCTGGGCGTGGTCGCGGGCACCTGTAGTCCCAGCTACTCGGGAGGCTGAGGCAGGAGAATGGCGTGAACCCGGGAGACAGAGCTTGCAGTGAGCCCAGTGAGCCAAGATCATGACACTGCACTCCAGCCTGGGAGACAGCAAGACTCCGTCTCAAAAAAAAAAAAAATATATATATATATATAACATTTTATGGACATGAGTGGCTCTAATCAGTAAATGTACACTATTAGATGGGGAGGTCAACTAGCATTTAGCCAGAAAGGCTGCCCTCCAAGGCAGCTACCACAGGACCTTCAGTTATCTACCTCTTGGTCAACATTTGATGCCTAGCCAACTCACATAATAATTGAGGTTTAAATCAGTTATCATCCTGAAATTAGTGGTACCAAATATATGAGGGTCATCTAACATATTTTAGAAACATTCCCTATTCTTCTATGAAGGGCATAAGAACCTAGCAAGATGTGTAGCCTAAACTTTAGGGGTAGTGCCCAAGACTTGTTCCCTAAATGGGCCTGTGTCCTACTATGGATAAGTTCCACTTTCTCAATGCTGACATGAAAGTAAAACCCTACCTCTGTTGTCTTATCTTCTTCAAATACACCTTTCTACAAGGTACTTTGGAGTATTTTAAAGGGCAGAGAGCTGAGGATTTATTAAATTTACAGAGAAGATGACATAAACTGTCTTATGCTAATGTCTGGTTAACTAATCTCTATATTCATGGCAGAATTTGATCAGAGTCATTTTCATCATAACTGGGACATAGGATTGTGGTGGTAAATGCTAACCATACGCCCACTTCACCTTTTTCAGCCACTATGATTAACTACCAAAAATGACCCTGTTGCTGAGCATGACCAAATTGGGTTAGGCTAGTTCAAAACACACTCTATTTTTCTCATTAGACACTGTTCATTACTTCTTAATTTGTTGCACCTTGCTTTTAGTCCCTCTGAACTAAAATGCTTAAGAGCAAATATCAACTAGAGTTTCTACTCTGTTGTTTTACATTAGCTGAAAAATACAGGTATATCCCCCAAAAAATAAGAAGAAAGAAAACTATCATTATTTTAAGATAACAGAATCCACTCCATTTTTAACACAAAAAAATTATGTTATTAGAAATCCCTATAGACTCCGTGAAAAAGAAATATACAGAATAAATATTTAAAATCTTCTGCACAGCAAAAGAAACTACCAACAGATTAAACAGACAACCTACAAAATAGGAGAAAATATTTGCAAATTAAGCATCCAACAAAGGTCTAATATCCAGAATCTATAAGAAATTTAAACAAATCAACAAGCAAAAACAACCCCATTTAAAAATGAGCAAAGACATGAACCAACACTTCACAAAAGAAGACATACACATGTCCAACAAGCATATGAAAACATGCTCAGTATCACTAATCGTTAGGGAAAGGCAAATCAAAACCACAATGAAATACCATCTCACACCAGTCAGAATGGACATTATTAAAAAGTCAAAAAATAACAGATGTTAGTGAGGTTGCAGAGAAAATGGAATACTTACACACGGCTGGTGGGAATTTCAATTAGTTTAGCCACAGTGGAAAACAGTTTAGAGATTTCTCAAAGAACTCAGAACTACCATTTGACCTAACAATCCCATTACTGGGTATATACCCAAAGAAATAAAAATTGTTCTACCAAAAAGACACATTCACTCGCATGTTCATCACAGCACTATTCACAGTAGCAAAGACATAGAATCAATCTAGATGCCCATCAGTGGTGGACTGGATAAAGAAAATGTGACATATATACACCACAGAATACTATGCAACCATAAAAAGAATGAAATCATGTCCCTTGCAACAGCATGGATGGCAGCTGGAGGCCATTATCCTAAGTGAATTAATGCAAAAACAGAAAACCAAATACCACATGTTCTCACTTATAAGTATGAGCTAAACATTGAGTACACACAGACACAAAGAGGGGAACAACAGACACCTGGGCCTACCTGAGGGTGGCAGGAGGAAGGAGGGTGAGGATTGAAAAACTACTTATTGGGTACTATGCTCACTATCTGGGTGACAAAATGATTTGAACACCAAACCTCAGCAACACACAATTTACTCAAGTAACAAACCTGCATATGTACCCCTAAACCTAAAATAAAAGTTAAAAAAAAAAATTTAATTTAAAAAATACATATATAGCTCTCCTAACAACAATAAGCAATGAGCAATTAAATAAAATGATATCAATAAAGATGAACTTAACATATGTTGAACATTTTTAAGGTATTATTAATCTTTACCAAGAAAAAGGGAAAAACAAATAAAATGAGACATGCCACATTCTTCAAAAAATAACTTTTAAATATAAATTTAAATGCAGACATTTCAAATAATTGTCTGCATTGTGTTTGGATTGTAACAAATTTATTTCAAGATTTATTTGGTCAAATTACAGCTTAGAAGAGTCAAGCCATTTTCATAAACGAATAATAAGCAAGGATTTGCTCTGGCCAGCACTGAAATACTATCAAATATTACTAAGGGTTTGATTTGGGGTCAAGAGCAGTGGCTCCTGCCTGTAATCCCAACATTTTGGGAGGCCTAGGCAGGAGGATAGCTTGAACTCAGGAGTTGGAGACCAGCCTGGGCAACAGAGTGAGACACCCCTGTCTCCACAAAAAACAAACAAATAGCCGGGCGTGGTGGCCTGTGCCTGTAGTCCCCGCTACTCGGGAGGCTGTAGTGGGAGGATTACGTGAGCCTGGGAGGCCGAGGCTGCAGTGAACAGAGATTGTGCCACTGCATTCCAGTCCGGGTGACAGAGTGAGGCTCTGTCTCAAAAAAGAAAAAGAGTTTGATTTGCATATGATTGAAACAACATTGCCTCAAAACAGACCCTAGTGTGTTTTACATTACAACAGTAAATATG
Organism: Homo sapiens; assembly: GCF_000001405.40. Classification (NCBI taxonomy): domain Eukaryota; kingdom Metazoa; phylum Chordata; class Mammalia; order Primates; family Hominidae; genus Homo; species Homo sapiens. The sequence continues at coordinate 302,067 of NT_167245.2, read as the reverse complement.
AAAAGAATGACATTACAAATTAGTGTGTGATGAAGGCCTATTTGTTGACCAGCGTGAGAAAACTGATGAAAGATCTAGAAATAAAATTTGTCAGTAAAAACAATACCTAAAAAACATACATTATTATAAATTTTAAATTGATTAAAAAATGTAGAGAGTTCCAGCAGAGATCCCAGGCCTGAAGCAGCGGCGAACCTGTCTTCCCCACCCCACCTCGGTGACCTGGTGGCCGCCGGCACACAGCACCTTTGGATGGCCGCGGGTGTGCCGGGCGGGAAGAAACACGCAGAGGCTGCTGGGGTGCAGGGCCCGCGAAGGCGGAGTTAGGGAGAGGCCTGGCCTCCTCTTTAGGCCACGGCGCCGCGCAGATGCTGTCCTCGGGGGACCTCTCTGTCCCAATTGGGTGAGACCTACCTGGTCCTGATGACAACAGACAACAGCCTTAACGGCCGGAAGGTCAGCGAAGTCCCGGATGAGGACGGGTGGAATGGTAGCGACCATGGGGCAGTTGGCCTTCCTTCTACCAGACGTTGATGTGGGAAAAGAGAAACGGAGTAACAGGACACATTTAGCGATTTGGAGATTCCCATCACGCTTTGGGAGGATGTACCGGCGTTTATAGGAGACCTGCGTGTATAATGTGAGAAAGCTGCTCTCAGCTTCCCCCAAAACTTTTACAAGGAAACATTTGCCACATCTAGCCTTTCCAGATGTATAGAGGTTACCGACCTATGATAGAGTTAGAAAATCACACATGGAATTTTTTAAATTCCATATTACAGAGTAGGTAATCAGTATGTAATTGTATCAGTGGATTACAAAATCTGGAGATTATATTCTGAGAATCTATTTTTGCCAACACAATAAGAGCCATATATTACAAGCCCACAGCTAATATCATAATGATAAAAAGTTGAAAGCTTTCCCTCTAAGATCCAGAACAAGATAAAGATGCCCACGCTCACCACTTCTGTTCAACATAGTACTGAATGTCCTAGCCAGAGCAGTTAGGCAAGAAAAAGAAAAAAAGGCATACAAATTGGAAATGAAGAAGTGAAACTGTCTCTTCTGATGACATGATCCTTTATTTGGAAAACCCTAAGAACTCCAACAACAAAAAAAGCTATTCAAATAAACAAATTCAGTAAAGTTACAGGTTACAAAATCAATATACAAAAATCAGTAGTGTTTCTATGCACTAACAATCATCTGAGAAGAAATTAAGTAAACAATCATAATTAAAAAATAAATTAATTAAAATAACTAGGTGCAAATTTAACCGAGGAGGTGAAAGATTTGTACACTTGAAAACTATAAAACACTGATATTTAAAATTACAAAAGACACAAAAATTGAAAAATACCTCATGTTCATGGATTGGGAAAATTAGTATTTTTAAAATACCTATACTACCCCAAATAAAGATTCAATGCAATCTCTATCCAAGTACCAATGTCATTTTGTAGAGAAATAGAAAAAACGATTCTAAAATTTGTCTGGATCCACAAAAATCCATAGCCAAAGTAACCTTGAATCAAAAAACAAACAAACAAAAAAAAACGGGAGGCATCATAATACCTGGCTTCAAAATCTACTGTGAACCTATAGTCATCAAAACAACAGGATACTGGCATAAAAACAGACACAAAAACCAATGGAACAAAATAGCGTAAAAATCAATCCATACATTTACAATCAATTGATTTTCAACAAAGGTGCCAAGAACACACAATGGGGACAGGGCAGTCTCTTCAATAAACGGTGTTGAAAAACTGAATATCCACATGTTGAAGAACGAAATTACATGCATACCTCAAACCATATACAAAAATCAACTCAAAATGCATTAAAGACTTAAACATAAGACTATTAAACTACTAAAAGAAATCATAGAAATGCTCCATGACATTGATCTGGTCAATGATTTTTTGGATATGACCTCAAAAGCACAGTCAACAAAAGCAAATATAAATAAATGAGATTATATCAAATTAAAGAGCTCCTGTACAGTCAGGGAAACAAATAAAATAATGAAAAGACAACCTATGGAGTGGGAGAAAATATTTGCAAATGATGTATCTAATAAGGGGCTAATATCTAAAATATATAAGAAGCTCAAACAAGAAAACATAATTCTATTTTAAAATGGAGCTGGCTGTGTTGGTTCACATCTCTAATCTCAGAATTTTGGGAGGCCAAGATGGGTGGATCACTTGAGGTCAAGAGTTCGAGACCAGCCTGGCCAACATGGTGAAACCCCGTCTCTACTAAAAATAGAAAAATTAGCTAGGCATGGTGGTACGTGCCTCTAGTCTCAGCTACTCAGGAGGCTGAGGCACAAGAATCACTTGAACCTGGGAGGTGGAAGCTGCAGTGAGCCGAGATTGTGTCACTGCACTCCAGCCTGGGAGACAGAGAGAGACTCCATCTCAAAAATAAAAATAAAAAATAAAATAAAATAATTTAAAAATTTTAAAAATGAAAATAAAAATGGGCAAAAGACCCAAATACACATTTCTCAAAAGAAGACCTACAAATGGCCAACATGTATATGAAAAATGCTCAACATCACTAATCAATGGGGAGATGTAAATTAAATGCACAGTGAGATATCACTTCATACTCTTAGAATGGCTATTGTCATAAAAAGCAAAGATAACAGCTTGGTGAGAATGTAGGGAAAAAAAGGAACCCTTGCACACCGTTAGTGGGAATGTACATTAATACAGCCACTATATAAAACAGTGTGGAGGTTACTCCAAAAATTAAAAATAGAACTACCATATGATCCAGCCATCCCACCACTGGGTATATATCCAAGGAATTGAAATCAGTATGTTAAAGAGATGTCTGCACTCCCATGTTTATGGCAGCATTATTCACAATAGCAAAGATATGGAATCAAACTTTGTGTTCATCAATGAATGAATAAATCAAGAAAATGTGGTGTACTATTCACTCGTAACAAAAAAAGGAAACCCTGTCATTTCCAACAACACGGATGAACCTAGAAGCTATGATGTTAAGTTAAATGAGCCAGTTACAGAAAGGCAAATACTACATGATCTCATTTAAATGAGGATCTGAAAAACTTAAACTCATAGAAGCAGAGAGTGGAATGGTAATTACCAGAAGCTGGGGATGGTGGTAAGTTTCCAGACCATAAATTGAGGGATAAGCTCCAGAGTGTTCATACTATTTTTAATTTGCTGAAAATAGAACGATGATAATAATTCATAAACCTAGAATTATGATTATCCCATAAATTTTTTAAAACTAAATATTTTGTCCTATAGACACAACACCTACATAACTTAATTTATCCAATTTTGATCTTACCAATTGAATAAACCAAATTTCAAGTAAATGTGTTCATTTTTATATAGTTTACATCATATATTCATTTTTCAATGTAAATTTAATATAATATATAATTAATCTCCAAATTTTTAAATTTAAAAACTTAAAAAGAAAAAGAAAAGATGAAACCCAACGTCTTTTTTTTTTTTTTTTTTTTTTTTTTTGAGACAAGAGTTTCGCTCGTTTCACAGGCCGGAGTGCAATGGCGCAATCTCGGCTGACCGCAACCTTCGTCTCCCAGGTTCAAGTGATTCTCCTGCCTCAGCCTCCTGAGTAGCTGGGATTACAGGCATGCACCACCATGCCCGGCTAATTTTTTGTTTTTAGTAGAGACGGGGTTTCTCCACATTGGTCAGGCTGGTCTTGAACTCCTGACCTCAGGTGATCCACCCGCTTTGGCCTCCCAAAGTGCTGGGATTACAGGCATGAACCACTGTGCCTGGCCGAAACCTAATGTGTTAAGAGAACTTTTCATGAAATTATTATTTGGATATGCCTCTGACCACAGTCATAGCTTTACTTAATCACCTCTGTGGGGCATCAGTCCTCAAGGTCTAAACCATATCAACATAGGTAGCCTTTAGAGCTGTAAATAAATACTTCCCTGCTACATGTTAATGATTCTTGGAATATACATTGACCAACACAGTGTTCTCCTTGTTTAATTAGGCAAAAATCTAGCTGTAAATATGAATAACAAGAGTATACATTAAAAAGACATCAAATAGCCAACCGAAAATATATTTAACCAAACCTAATTAAGGATTTTCACCAGTCCCACATTTAGTTTACTTCCAATATCCACATTAAATAGAGACTTCTATTAAATCTTATTTCAGCTGTTGCATTTAAGTGTGAATGGCACTGTAGTGTCAGTATGACCAGTGGTTAATCCAATTCTTCAGGGCATTAGTAACTCATCCAACAAGAATTTTTTTCTAATTTATTAATTAAATGAAGAAACGTCATAATGGGAACATGGGTATGTTTGGACTACATGAGAACATGACAGCTCTGAATTCTTCCTTCATGAAAATATATTCTAATCTTTTCAGCTTCTGGTAAGTATTCTCTGCTATCTCTAACAGAGGATGACTCCAGGTAGAAAACAGATCCTAGATAGCGTAAGACTCAGTCTAACATGAAAGCAAAAATGTGAAAGGTATGTGAGATATAAATAATACTAACATTTTGAGGATTAAATATAAATTTAATCCTCAGGAGTGAGGATTAAACTTCAACAAGAGCAGTTAGTGGATTTTGAAGTTACTGAATGCTCTCTATGCACCAAGCATCATGCTAAATATTTAGCATAGCATGTAATCCTCCTCATAGCCATCCTACAAAGCAGGTGCTATTAGAATAGCTATTTTACAGATGAGGAATCAGAGGCTAAAGAAGTTAATTAGCCTGCTCAAGTCCACAGAGTAAGGAAATGGCTGAGATCAATTGTAACAAAAATCACAGGCGGTCTGAACCAGTCTAGGGTCTTACCTATTTTTATTTCGTCCTTTCATCTTGAATTTTGTATGACTACAGCAATATACCTCATGCTTTATAATAAAAGATCCATATATTTTTACTTTTTATAAAATTTTAGACAGTTTTGAAATTTTGTGCTTCTAATTTTCTCTCAATATCATAAATTATGTTGAAATATGTTTGGTTCATTTGTCTCAGATTTCACTGGAGAAAGCAAAATGTTAAGTTATGCGCGATTATTGGGCTCTGAAGTCCATACTATGAAAAATGAAAAACTGAGTTTCGATTAAAATGTAGCATGCCTCTTTTTTGCCATCTATTTCTTCAGCTGGAGTGTTGTAAGTCTCATTTCAAATAACACATTCACTTTTAAATTGAAATTAAAATATCTGGTTTGAGATCCAAAGCTTAAATCAATATGAAAATGTTAAAAAGTATTAAATGAAAAGTCCTGTATTTGAGTTCACAACATTAAACTACATAAATTGTCATGCCTGACTTGGCAGCATTTCTAATAAGAATGCCTAGGGCTTTACGTGATCCAAAGTTTAAAGAGAGCCAGTAATGTCTTATACCTGCTAAAAATAACCAACGTATATTTTAGAAAATTATGCAGATCATAGACATTCACTATTCTCTTCAGTAGTGTTGCATAAGTGGAGTATCGTGCTTACTTTTATACTCACTAATTTGCAGCACTTGACAAATCATGGTGTGTCCAGGGAGAGCAACAAGAAAAAGCATGGTAATAAAAGAGCATGTAGTGGTAGGAACAGCTAACAATGTGCTTTGTCTGGGAAGAGAAATCTAAGCATATATTTGGTAACAGTTTCTAATATTAAAAGAGAGTTAAAAGGTATATAAAAAATTTTTAGTAAGCCAAACTATACAATATTGTCTAGAGGTGCACATTTGGGTAATTAACCTACTAACATGCAAAGAGGGGATTACTATAAATAGCAGCATAGTGGATACTTCAGGGGATAGGGAAGAGTTATCATTGGTAAAAGGCACAAAGAAAAGCTCCTAGGGTAATCATCAATGTTTTATTTATTGATTTAGGTGATAGTTACAAGAATATACACTGAAACTCACCAAGCTTTACTTTTTATTTGTTGTATCCATGCACTGTTCATATAATAATACTGGGGTTTTTATGAGGCCATGTTAAATTGACTTACTCTGTGTTATTTTCAGAATAAAGAAAATCAGCCAGGGCTGGGCAAGGAATCATCTTTGAGTTCAATATAAGCAGCATTGACTAAAGGAGAGAGGCTGCTTCAAGTGTAATTGACTTCCCTGTCACTGAAGTTATGCCAGTAGCAGCTGTGTAGCGATTCTGTTGAAGGATCTCCTATGCAGAGCAGAAGGCTAGATTCATGACTTCTGAGGTTTTTTTCCACTTTGAAATTCATGACCTTTTAATTCCCAACACAAACCCAACAGCAGTCAAAAGAATTTGAGTGAATTTTTTAATCAAAGCATTTGGAGACCTCAAGTCATCTCCTGCTCCTGAAGCTTTTCAGTTCAATGTGCATATTGTGATTCTGCATATTTTTGTGTATATAAAAATGTTTCTAAATTTTAAAGTTACACAAATTTTTTAAAAAACATTCCAGTTTAGTTCTAGGTCATTGCGGTAAAATCACTAGTGTGAAAAATTAATGGACTAAGGGGTAGACAGAATAACAATGACAGGTGAATATAGGTTATCATTTTTAGAATTAAAGATGAACCAAGCTCAGTTCCAAGTGCTTTTATAAATATTAACCCTCACAACATCCCTTTGAGGAAGGAAATTTTATTATATTTTCTTCATGTATAAAGAACCTCCTACACAAACAAGTTAAATAATTGCCCAAGGATACAGCTTCCAAGTGGTGAAGCTGGAATTTGATGCCAGGGACTTTGAGTTCAGAATCTGTGCAATGAAGCACTATCATTCCTTAGTTGACAACCTATTGCGAAAAATAAAAAAACTGGACACTTATTAATTAGATTTCCATTTTTGTGCTGTGAAAAACTACACCTCTATCTCATACTACTTGATAACATTTCCTTCTTTATGATTATAACATTATTCTGTTCTAACTGAAACACTTATAACAATGACATATATAAATGATCTATCTTCCCCTTGTTTTACTATATACCAGAAACAAATGAGGTTTCTATTCCATGGCCTCAAGGACACTATAAATGTAAAGTATGGTAGGTCTGAATTTCGTGGTCAGAAATTATCAGCAGAAAAAATGTTTAAACTAATTCAGCCATTAGCTCGACACCAGGGCTCAGGCCGAAGCAGGAGGATTGCTTGAGCCAAGGAGTTCCAAACCAGCCTGAACAACATGGTGAGACCTCATCACTACAAAAACATTTAAAAATTACCTGGACACAGTGGCATGCATCTGTGGTCCCAGCTACTTAGGAGGCTCAGTTGAGAGGATCACTTGAGCACCGGAGGTCCAGGCTGCAATGAGCTGTCACTGTGTCACCGCACTCCAGCCTAGGCAACAGAGCAAGATTTTTGTTTTGTTTGGTTTGGTTTTTTTGAGACAAGAGTCTCGTTCTGTCGCCCCGGCTGGAGTGCAGCGGTGCGATCTCGGCTCACTGTGGCCTCCGCCCCCAGGTTCAAGCAATTGTCCTGCCTTAGCCTCCCAAGTAGTTGGGACTACAGGCACGCACCACACCGCCCAGCTAATTTTTGTATTTTTAGTAGAAAATACAAAATTTTTCCCCACGTAGGCCATGCTGGTCTGGACTCCTGACATCAAGTGATCCGCCCACCTCAACCTCCCATAGTGCTGGGATTACAGGCATGAGCCACTGCATCCGGCCAACAGAGCAAGAATCTATCTTTAAAAAAAACAAACAACAACAACAAAAAAAAACTAACTCAGTCAGTCATTAAATATTTTGTCTACTTAGTGATATGATACAATAATCAGAAATGGTGAGATTGATGACATTTTTATCTGTATCTGTATTCTTTTAGAGCCCAATGGGGTGATGGTTTTACCTAAAGGATTTCAAAGCAATCAGAACATCCACTCATGTTGGATTGGTAAATTCCATAGATTAAAACAACTCTGGCTATTTAATGAACTGCTTTTTGTTTGAATTACCTGCCCAGCGCCCAGCTAATTCTGCTGAATGGCTGGTAAGTAGGATTGGACACAGATCGTTGTACGTGGTGGCCAAATAGTTCTGGAATTACCTCAATATTTAACTGCAACAAATCAGTAAGGCTGTTTAGATGGTGTAATATTAGTCATTAAAGCTGTTTAAAAAACATATAGGCCTTTATACATGTAAGTAAATATTAATAAGAAAGATAATTATTTCCTGGCAACAAAAAACACACTCACAAAAAAAGGCAGTGTAGTAGGGAACACCAAAATTGATAGAATAACAACAGTGCCTGCAATGTTGAGGGGTAAAAAAAATATAAGGAGGAGGAGTAAGTTGGTGGTGAGGATAATTATAATTATAATGGCTGAAATGTAGATATTTGCAAGTAAATATTGAAAGTGATTCTGCTATCAAATGGTGGAGTTTATTCCAAAAAAAGATGTCATTTAACTTTTTACCTCAAGCTTAACTCCTTCAATAATGCAAGGATTTATCATGATCAAGTGATGCTTATGTCATAGCTTCAAAGAGGAACAACTCCTCAATACATATGCCTCTCTTAAAATCACATAATTGACTTCATGATTTTATTACTTAATTGAAATACATAGAACAATGAATGACATAGCAAATTAAGTTTTTTCAATGATTTACAATTCAGCCTGATTGGATTTAGCATATTATTAATTTTGGATTAAATATGAACAAGTTGTGAGCACTGGGCCATAGGGAAATGTTAAAAGAGATGTTCCAAATGAGAGAGAGCATGCAAATAAGAGAGTTTTGGATACCCTTGAGAAACTTCAGAGATTTTCAGTTCTACCTAAACCTGACACTATTTTTGGTTACCATGATATTGCCTGCTAGCTTTTCTTAAGGAACAATGGAAACAAGCAGTGTAAGTTCTGGAACAGATTTCATCCTTCTGGGGTTTTCTGATCGACCCCAATTAGAGCACATCATCTCAGTGGTTGTCTTCATCATCTATATTGTGACTCTGGTAGGAAATACAACCATCATTCTTGTATCTTATCTAGACACCCAGCTCCATACCTTCATGTATTTTTTCTTATCCAATTTGTCTTTCTTGGACCTCTGTTATACAACTAGCATTATCCCCCAGATGCTGGCAAATCAATGGGGCCCAAAAAAATCTATTACTTATGGAGGGTGTGTACTCCAATTCTTTTTTGTCCTTGACTTGGGAGCCACAGAATGTCTTCTGTTGGCTGTGATGGCCTATGATCGTTATGCTGCTGTCTGTCAACCTCTTCACTACACCTTAAAATGCACCCTCAGCTTTGCCACTGCCTGGTTGAGTGGTCTTGCCAGTGCCTTAATTGTTTGCTCCTTGACTTTGAAGTTGCCAAGATGTGGGCACCGGGAAGTGGATAATTTTTTCTGTGAGATGCCAGCATTGATCAAGATGGCTTGTGTCTATTCAAAAGTAATTGAGATTGTTGTCTTTGCTTTCGGAGTGGTATTTCTTTTCGTACCTCTATCACTAATTCTTATCTCATATGGAGTTATCACTCAAGCTGTAATGAGGATCAAGTCAGCAACAAGGTTGCAAAAGATCCTTAATACATGTGGCTCCCACCTCACAGTAGTAATTCTGTTTTATGGAACAATCATTTATATATACATGAAGCCACAGAATACCATATCCCAAGATGAAGGGAAGTTCTTCACTCTTTTACACAATCATCACACCCAGCCTTAACCTTCCCATCTACACTTTAAGAAACAAAGATGTAAAGAGTGCACTGAAGAGAATACTGTGGATGAAAAAATCTTCAGCAGAATCATGAATTAGATGGAAAAAAGTAGAATGTAGAGCACTAAAGAAATATTGGCATTTATCAAGAGAAGTGAAATCAATTCATTTATCCAAAGCACATTCACGCTCAAAGCTTGGTGCTCTTAAATGACAAAAGAAAATTTAGCAAGCTTATGTTTTTACTTTGCTTTACTTTGTTTTACTGGTAAATACATTCAAAATCTGGAAATCCCTGTGCTAGAGAATAAACGACTCCACTTCTCTGCAAATCAGCCATTTCAGAGATTGAAAATCCTCTCTGCAAGTGAAAGATTCCCCATATCTATAGTGCCCTTGCTATGTCATTTCAAAGACAGAGTAAGCCACAGCTTACATGAAGTAATTGAGTAGGAAGATGGGAGTAATAGGGCTTATGATGTCTCTACAATCCTTAAACCCTGTGGCTTCTAAATTTCCACAGCAAGAACATCATACCTTTATTTCAAGGTTTTGATTCCTCTTTTACTTTTATTTTAGGTTTGGGGGTACATGTGAAGGTTACATAAACACGTGTCATGGGGGGTTATTATACATCTTATTGCATCACCCAGGTGTTAAGCCCAGTACCTAATAGTTATCTTTTCTTTGCAGATGACTCTAAAATTGTCAGTTGTACATACCTTGGTAAACATAAAAAAATATGAGAGAGGACAGTGAAATCAGGATAAGGAAAGCATGAAGACACTGTAAACTTCATGGTGTCATAAGGACTATGGAAGAAAGACAAAAGTATAGAATGATAAAATTGTGGCCACTAAAAAAGAGTATCAATTTTCCTTTGTTAAAAATGAGTGATCCTAAATCTTGCTAGGCATTTATCACTTAAAAACCTTCTATTCAACCTTCATACCCTGCTGAAATCTTGTCTCAACTGAAAAGTATTTATGAATCTCATCAGTCTATGGTCTATAGTCCTTGAAAACCCTGACCATATAAGTATAGGGCATTATCCCATTTTTATTTAGTTGTTTGTATGTGTGTTTGAAGAAGATGCATTGGTAAGCTTTTCAACAATATAGACCTTCTTATTCACGTGATTTTGCTGTGTCGAATCAGTTTCTGACATGAATTACATAGCCAATAAATGTCTGTAGAATGAATATGTCAATGTTTTTTATTAAATCTCCATGAAAATGTTACCAAATCTGCAGAATATCACAAATTCTCATTGGGTGATGAATATTAGAGCAATATCTTCAGTTTGTGTTAACACTGAAGATATATAAATCATCTAACACCTAAAATGTAATATATTTAAACATCTATGAGTTAGCAAAGGAAAAGATACAGTTTTTCTTTCACATACATATTATAGAATACATACATAATATTATAGAATCTTTACAACATCCCCTAGAGGTATATATAAGTACATAATGGAAACTAGAAAATAAGAGAAATAAAAGAAATTGCTCATTATCTTATCCCAGAAATGACTAAATTTTTAAATTAATTTTCTTTTAAAGTACTGTCATCTATTAAAATTTGGTTTAATAGTTTGTCTTATTTCTCTCAATATATGCCTTCATATCAGGGATGATATCATCCCCACAGGGGCAAAATTGATTCAAGGGGAGGTAGCAAAAATCTTTGGTATTACAATGGTTGGTGGTCCTCCAAAGAGCCTCTGTACATAAGCAGTTACACAATATAACTGTGGCACTAAAATTTTGTTAGAAATGAAATAACTATAATGAAAAAGTTTGAGAAAACACTTAATTTGGTGCTTTTTCCTATTTGAAAAGATGATTAAAAGAAAGACTCCCTTAGGCCAAAATGATTGACAAGGATATGCACATCCAATACACAGAATTAGTAAACTTCTAGATTGGCAATTGAAAACTGCATTCAGTAATGGTCTTCAGTTTCAGGTTAAAATGCTGGAAATTCTCTGTTATATTGGGGATTTTTTTTTTAAGTTTGATGAAAAAATCATGCCCCAAAGAGTTTTTTTAATGATAAAATTCTTGAGTTTATAGGATAGTATATAAAAAAAGAAACAACTTGCTGAAAAGTTGAAACTGAAATTGTGCCCCAAAGAATAGGAAACCAATAACTAACAGAAATCTTGAGTTTGCCAGATAGCAGATAAGAAAATAAATAACTTGCTGAAACGCTGAAATTCCCTCCATTTGTGAGATAACAAGAGTGTCCAAAATTAGTTGGAACCAACATGACCAAATGGAGTTTGCACAGAACAAGCTTGTTAATGTCACAGCCCGATTTCCACTGCATGTTTCATACTAACTCCCTTTGAATTTGCATGTGGGACCCATGAAGAGGAATGGAGATAACTGTGCATTTGAGGACTTTCTAGACCTCCCTTTTCCTTCCACCAACCACCTGCTAATCCCAGAATCCACCCGCAAACCTTTTCTAATAAAATTACTATCTTAAAGCCAGCACAGGGAGATACAGTTGAGCTAGATTCCTGTCTCCTTATTGGTCAACCTATAATAAAGAGCTTTTCTTTTCTTAGAAATCCAGTGTCATAGTATTAGCTTCTAGCACATCCAGCAGTGAGCCCCTTTTGCCTGGTAACAATAACATAATATAGTATCAAGAATTTGTGACTGGGCATGGTGGCTCACGCCTGTAATCCCAACACTTTGGGAGCCTGAGGTGGGCAGATCACAAGGTCAGGAGTTCAAGACCAGCCTGGCCAATATGGTGAAACCCCATCTCTACTAAAAATAGAAAAAGTAAGCTGGGCGTGGTGGTGGGCACCTGTAGTCCCAGCTACTCCGGAGGCTGAGGCAGGAGAATGGCTTGAACCCAGGAGGTAGAGGTTGCAGTGAGCCGAGATTGCACCACTACACTCCAGCCTGGGCAACAGAGCAAGACTCCATCTCAAAAAAAAAAAAAAAGAATTTGAGGAAACAATATCTCATTTATTTCTGGTTGTATTAGTTATCTGCTGCTACATGAACTTTTTTTTAAAGAAACAAACAGAACTTCTAGACATGATCAGTATAGGCTGAAAATCCCTTATCCATAATTCTGAATCTAAAATGGTCAGAAATGCAAAGGCATAAGAACGATACATTGGACTTTGGGGACTCGGGGAAAAGGGTGGGGGCTGGTGAGGGATAAAACACTACACACTGTGTACAGTGTACACTGCTCAAATGATGGGTGCACCAAAATCTCAGAAATCGCCACTAAAGAACTTATTCATGTAAGGAAACACCACCTGTCCCTCCAAAACCCTATTGAAATAAAAAAATTAAAATAAACAAAAATAAAATGGTCAGAAAACTAAAAGCTTTCCTTTTTTTCTTTGAGACAGGGTCTCACTATGTTACCCAAGCTGGTCTCAAACTCCTGGCCTCAAGCAGTTCTCTCAAGTAGCTGGTATTACTGGTGAGAGCTACCACACCCAGGTAGAAAACTAAAAGTTTTCATAACTCTGTTGGCAACAAAACCTGACCTGAACTGAGGTAGGACTATTTCTATCTATTCTTTACTTTCAGTTTTATTAAACAAGAGAGACTGTATGTTAAAAGAATAGAGTTCCTTTTAAGAAAAAATAATATCAGCTATTTGTCATTTGTCAGAAATGGCAGATATTTTTTAAAGAGGACACTCACTGTTATCACTAATTTATAAAACCATAGTTTCTTTCGAGTTGAAGATTCAAGAGCAATTAGAACATGTCTGTTTTAAAATATGGTAGTCACTAGGTGTAGCATCAAAAGAAAAACTATCAAAGAATAATAAAACTTTAAATTATTCTTTTTAACTTAAATGGATGTGTATTTTAAACTATTTTTATCTAAGATATTAAGTTAACATTTAAAGTTGGCCACATGAAAAGATAGGTCACATTTCATGTTCTTGTGAGTCAACTGAAATACTGAAGGAAAAAAAAAGTTTGTTTCCTTGCTAGTCATTGTACCTTGCTGGCTAGAAATGTTCCATGGAATGTGTGAGAGTTTGGTTCCAAAATGGCTGCATATAAGGAAGCTGGCTTTATTTTTCCTCCACAGAAAACCTACAACAAATACACGGTGCTGAGATTATCACCAGCAATATCCCAGAACTCAAATATGAAGATGGAACAGTGCCCGTGGCAACAAAGAAGTAAAAAACTTCAAGCAGACGCTGTAAGAATCAGACTTCCAAATCCGTGACATCCCTCTCCCAAATCTGCCTAGCACCAAGCATGTGGAAAACTTCCCCCACCTCACCGCCAGTTTCTACACTGGAAAAAGTGAGATTGAAGTGGATAACCAGTTTCCCCACCATCTTGGATTCCCTGGCAAGAGATCTGTCCCTAAGTACTTAAAGGGAGAAATATTCCCAAAGACAACCAGAGAAAAAGTGGGGAGGTGGGACTTCCTTCCCCAACCCTAGAAACACTCTTCTTTAACTCAGCCAAAGGAGACGCCAAATCAGCGAAGCTGGTCAGCAGCGACACACCATAGGAGGTATGTTCCACAGGTTCCCTGAGCACGAAATTCTAGCCAGACTTCCCACCCTATTGGGATATCCCCCGTAAGACCTTCTACATTTGGGTCCGGCAGTGCTCCAGTCATTTACTAGGGCCAAGGAAAACCTGGACTGCAGACTCCATGTGATGTCAGAAAGAAGGCAAGACCAAGAGGGCGAAAAAAAAGTAGATGCTGTCATGCTTTCTGTACAGCCTGCAGAACCATGAGCTAAGTAAACCTCTTTTCTTTATAAATTACTCAGTCTCATGTGTTTCTGTATAGCAGTGTGAGAACAGACTAATATACATGACTTCCCCAAACAGACAAAGCAAGGAACCAATGACTTACCCTAGGCAAGACAGTGGTATGTGAGCTCTCTCACCAAGAATTCAAAATAGCAGTTTTAAAGAAACTCAGTGAACTCAAGGATAACACACAAAAGCAATTCAAAAATTTATCAGAGAAATTTAACAAAGAGATTAAAATAATTTTTTAAAATCAAACAAAAATCTTGGAACTGAGAAATATACTTGTCAAACTGAAAAATTTATTAGAGACTCTCGACAGCAGAATGGATCAGACAGTGGAAGGAATTAGTAAACTCAGACAGGCTATTTGAAAATACAGTTAGAGGAGAAAAAAGGGAAACGAATACAAAGGAATGAAGATCACCTAAATAATATAGAAAAGTACCTCAAAAGGACAAATCTAAGAATGATTGGTGCTCAAGAGGGAATTCAGAAAGAGCAAAAATTAGAAAGCTTATCCAAAGAAATAACTCAAAACTTTCCAAACTTAAGAAATATATAAGTATCTAGGTACAAGATTAGAGAACATGAAACAGATTCAACCCAAATAAGACCACCCCAAGACATACAATAATCAAATTCTCAAAGGTCAAGGACAAAGAGGATTACAAAAGTTGGCTGGGCACCATGGCTCATGCCTATAATCCCAGCACTTTGGGAGGCCAAGGCAGGTGGATCACCTGAGGTCAGGAGTTCGAGATCAGCCTGGCCAACATGGTGAAACCCTGTCTCCACTAAAAATACAGTAATTAGTGGGGCATGGTAGTGGGTGCCTGTAATCCTAGCTACTCAGGAGGCTGAGGCAGGAGAATCGCTTGAACCCGGGAGGCAGAGGTTGCAGTGAGCCGAGATAGCACCATTGCACTCCAGCCTGGGTGACAAGAGTAAAACTCAGTCTCAAAAAAAATAAAATAAAATAAAAAATAAAAGCAGCAAGAGAAAAGAAGTAAATAACATACAAAGAGCTCCAATTATTCTGGCAACAGACTCCTCAATGGAAACTATACAGGCCAGGTAGATGTGGGATGGCATTTTCAAAGTGCTAAAAGAAATAAAACCGCCATCCAAGATTAATGTACCAGAAAAGCTATTCTTCAAACATGAAGAAGACATAAAATCTTTCCTTGACAAACAAAAGCTGAGAATTCACTACCACCAGGCCTATCTTAAAATAAATGGCAAATGAAGTCCTTCAATCTAAGAGAAAAAGATGCTAACATGCATAAAGAAAATATTTGAGGAAAAAAACCACTGGTAACATTAAGTACAAGACATACCCAGGATACTCTAATACTCTAATTGTGGTGTGCAATCCATTTATAACTGTAGTATGAAATCTAAAAGACAAACCTATCAAAAACAATAATTGCTACAGTGACCTGCTAAGAGATAGACAATATAAAAATATGTAAACCGAGACAACAAAAAGTCAAGATGTAGGGGTATAGAGTTAAAGGGCAGGGTTTTGTGGGGGTTATTTAAGTTTTTTTGTTTGTTTCTAGTCTTTTCTTTGTGATCAAAGTTAAGTTGTCATCTTTGTAAAATATCAGCTGCGCGCCATGGCTCATGCCTGTAATCCCAGCACTTTGGGAGGCCAAGGCTAGCTAATCACTTGAGCTCAGGAGTTCAAAACCACTCTGGGCAACATGGCAAAACCTCATCTCTACAAAAAATACAAAACTTAGCTGGCTATGGTGGCATGTGTCTATGGTATCAGCTACTCAGGAGACTGAGGTAGGAGGATTGCCTGAGTTCAATAAGGTAGAGGCTGCAGTAAGCCAAGATCTCACCACTGCACTCCAGCCTGGGTGACAGAGACCCTGTATCAGAATAATAAGTAATAATAAAACAAAGTAGCTATAAGATATGTTTTGTAAGCCTCATGGTAACCCCAATGCAAAAATCTGTAATTAATACACTAAAAATAGAAGGCAGTGAATTAAAGCATTCTACCAGAGAAAATAACTTAACCACAAAGAAATACAGTAGCAAAAGAATAAAGGAAGAAAGACGTTACAAAACAACCAGAAAACAAGCAACAAAATGGCAGTCATAAGTCCTTACTTATCAATAATAACACTGAATATAAATGGACCAAATTCTCCAATTAAAAGATGTATAGAAGTTAAATGGGTAAAGAGACGAGACCCAACTATGTGGTGCTACAAGAACCCACCTTGCCTATAGGGACATACATAAGTTGAAAGTGAATTTATGGAAAAAGATATTCCATGCAAGTGGAAATCAAAGAGAACAGGATTAGGTATACTTATATCAGATAAAACAGACTACAAGTCAAGGAATGTAAAAAGTGACAAAAGGTCACTATATAATGATGAAGGGGTCAATTCATCAAGAGGATATTAAAAATTATAAATATCTGTGCACCCAACACCAGAGCATCCAAATATGTAAAACAAACATTAATAAATCTCAAGGGAGAGATAGGCTCCAATATAATAATAGTAGGGACTTCAACACCTCACTTTCAGTAACAGATTATCCAGGGAGAAAATCAATAAAGAAACATTGGAATTAAGCTACACACTAGACCAAGTAGGCCTGACATTTATAGAACATTTCACCCAGCTGCTACAGAGTACACATTCTTTTCACTTGCACATGGCACATTCTCCAGAACAGACCATATCTTAAGTCACAAAAGAAGTCTCAGCAAATTCAAAAAAGTAAAAATTATATCAAGTATCTTTTCTGATCACAATGGAATAAAACCAGAAATCAACAAGAGGAACCTTGGAAACTATACAAACACATGGAAATCAACATGCTCCTACAACCAATGGGTCAATGAATAAGCTAAGAAAATTTTAAAAATTTCATGAAACTAGTGAAAATAGATATACAACATACCGAAGCCTACAGAATACAGCATAACAATAACTTTATAGCAATAAACACCTACATCAAAAAAGGGAAAAGACTTCAAATAATCAACCTAAAAATGGATCTCAAGGAACTCAAAAAAGCAAGGATGAACCAAATCCAAAATTAGTAGAAAGAAATAAATATCAGAACAGACATAAATGAAATTGAAACTAAAACATAAATACATTTGATCAATGAAATGAAAAGTTGATTTTTTGAAGATAGACAAAATTAACAAACCTTTCCCTAGACTAAAAAAGAGAAACCCAAATAAATCAATCAGAAAGAAAAAAAAAGAGATATAACAGACCACAAAAATACAAAGAATCAGAGAATATGAACAACTATACACCAACAAATTGGAAAACATAGAAAAAATGGATAAATTATTAAACATATACAACGTACTAAGATTGAACCATGAATAGAAACCCTAACAAACCAATAATGAGTAATGAAATTGAAGCCTTAATAAAGTCTCTCATCAAAGAAAAGCCCAGGACATTATGGCCTCACTGCTGAATTCTAGCAAATATTTAGAGAACTGATACCAATTCTACTCAAACTCTTTTAAAAAAAATTGAAGAGGAGGGTATTCCTCTAAACTCATTCTACAAGGCCAGCATTGCCCTGATGTGAAAACCAGACAAGGATACAGCAAAATCTGTGTCAGAAATCAAATCAAAAACAAAACTACAGGCCAAAATCCCTGATGAACATAGATACAAAAATTCTCAAAATAACTAGCAACCCCAATTCAACAACCAAGAAGATCGCTCATGATGAGTGTGATTCATGAATACTGCATGTTCTCACTCCTATGTGGGAGCTAAAACAGAAGATCTCATGAAGCTAGGGAGTACAATGGTGGTTATCAGGGCCTGGAAAGAGGAGGGAAGACGTGGGATAAAGAGAGGTTGGTTAAACGGTATAAGTATACAATTAGGTAGAAGAAAGACAACCAGAGTTCAATAGATCAGTAGGGTGACTATAATCTATTAGACACTTCTGGCTGGGCGCGGTGGCTCACGCCTGTAATCCCAGCACTTTGGGAGGCAGAGGTGGCCGATCACGAGGTCAGGAGTTCAAGACCAGCCTGACCAACATGGTGAAACCCCGCCTCTACTAAAAATATAAAAATTGGCCCGGTGTGATGGCGTATGCCTGTAATCCCAGCTACTTGGGAGGCTGAGGCAGGAGAATCGCTTGAACCCAGGAGGCAGCGGTTGCAGTGAGTCGAGATCACGCCATTGCACTCCAGCCTGGGTGACAGTGCTAGACTCTGTCTCAAAATAATGTTAGACATTTCAAAATATCTAAAAGATTGCTTGATATATATTTAGATATAACTAGAAAAAAATTTGAACGTTCCAAGCAAAAAGGACATTTAAGTTTATACATATATATACACACACACACAAATTATCCTTATCTTTGACCTTTATACGTTATGTATCAAAATATTACATGTACCCTCAAAATACATACATTAAAAAAATGAGAAATAGAAAAATCAAAAAAAAAAGTTCCATGAATTCTGAACACAAATGTGGCCCCCCATTGCTTGTTATTTGTCTGTTCATCATCCCCCACTTGCAGTATTAAAATGTCAGTGTTTCCATTTAGGGATCCCCTTCTGCCTGAATAATCCCCAAATCTGATTCAAAAAATTAGTTCTTACCAGTTTGCACACTCAAGAAAGCACCTGAGCCCAAGTCCACTACGGCCATTTTGTCACTGCCACAAGGTGGCGCTATTGAAAAATGGTCCACATTACTAGCACTCACCGTCCCCATTGTAATGAGAACAAACTTCGGATCTCTGCACAAGCCACAGTGGTCCTTCTAAGGAGGTAGACAGACCTCTCACCCTGCACCCACTTCTTCATGGCAGTTGCATCTCAGTGAGCCTTGAGTTCGTTCATGAGTGGCTGATCTTTGTTTTCACGTCTTAAGTCTGAAAGCACCCATCTCCATCAGAGAGCCTGCCGCTCAGTAACTCCGGCCGAATTTGTTCGGGTGTGAGGTTTAAGGCCCTAATCGCTGTTCTCTCTTCCTCTTTGGGCAACCCCATCTCCGAAGCGTCAGTTTTTCTTTCACCTATCCGCAACATAAAGTGTTACTAATGACACTCCTCGCCCAGAAGACGGCGCTCCGGGCCTGCACACGCTGGTGCCTCCGGCGAGCCTGGACCCCAGGGCCACTTAGAGCCTTGGCGTTCGTTTTAGCTCTTAACGGCGACCAAGACGTCTTCCTCCTCTGCGACAGTGTGGGGAAGGGAGAACGAGAATAACCCACGTTTGGCCAGGAAAAGCTCCCCCTCTATGTAACTTGTAAGGAACCTCCCAGCAAGCAAGTGGCGTGTGCCCGGGTCTCCGTTCCCCGAGACGCGGGATCCCGGGCGGGAGGGCTAGTCTATCCCATTTGCCTCCACTCCTCTCGGAATACGTTGGAGTCTTCCTTTCTGGTGTCTCCGACTTCGCAGTAACTTAGAGGTGTCTCTGATGAGAATGCAGCCCTGGGTGTGGCTCTGACCACCTCAAGCACCATCCCGACCCTTCCTTGTACGTCTTCCCGCAACCTCCTGCGGAAAAGCAATGTGTCAGAAATTTGTGAGTTCTTGGCATGATTCTAGAATGAAGCTGCAGACCCTCAGGGTGTTAGTTCTAAAAAACGTGTCTGGAGTTTGTTCCTTCTGATAGTCAGACGTGTTTGGAGTTTGTTCCTTTTGGTGGGTTCGTCGACTAGCTAGCTTCAGAAGTGAAACCGCAGACCTCTACAATGAGTGTTACAGCTCTTAAGGCGGCATATCTGGAACTGTTTGTTTTTCCAGGTGGGTTCGTGGCCTCGCTGACCTCAAGAGTGAAACTACAGGCCCTCACAGTGTTACACCTCACAAAACAAAATGCAGATCCAAGCAGCTAATAGTAAAAAATAAAACCACCACAATGTGAAACAGGACAAAACAAATTACAATGGCCAACTCCGGTAACCTGCTTTTATTCCCTTATCTGGCCCCACCCACATCCTGCTGATTGGTCCATTTTACAGAGAGCCGATTGGTCCGTTTTGACAGGGTGCTGATTGGTGTGTTTACAATCCCTGAGCTAGACACAAAAGTTCTCGAAGTCCCCACTAGATTAGCTAGACACAGAGCACTGATTGGTGCATTTACAAACCTTGAGCTAGGCACAGAGTGCTGATTGGTGTATTTACAAACCTTGAGCTAGACACAGAGTGCTGACTGGTGTATTTACAATCCCTTAGATAGACATAAAGGTTCTCCAAGTCCCCACCAGATTAGCTAGACACAGAGTGCTGATTGGTTTGTTTACAAACCTTGAGCTAGACACAGAGTGCTGATTGCTGTATTTACAATCCCTTAGCTAGACATAAAGGTTCTCCAAGTCCCCACCAGTTTAGCTAGATACAGAGTGCTAATTGGTATATTTACAATCCCTTAGCTAGACATAAAGGTTCTCCAAGTCGCCACTAGACTCAGGAGTCCAGCTGGCTTCACCTGGTGGATCCTGCACCCGGGCCGCAGGCGGAGCTGCCCGCCAGTCCCGCGCGCCGTGCGCCCGCACTTCTCAGCCCTTGGGCGGTGGATGGGACGGGAAGCCGTGAAGCAGGGGGCGGCAATCGTCGGGGAGGCTCCGGCGGCGCAGGAGCCCACCGCGAATTCTCGGGCATGGCAGGTTGCAGGTCCCAAGCCCTGCCCCGCGAGGAGGCGGCTGAAGCACGCGAGCGCGGCGCGGGTGGGCCGGCAGCGGTAGGGGACCCAGCGCCCCCTCCGTAGCTGCTGGCCCGGGTGCTAAACCCCTCACTGCCCGGAGCGGTGGCGCCGGCCGGCCGCTCCGAGTGTGGGGCCCCCGGAACCCGCGCCCACCCGGAACTCGCACTGGCCCGCAAGAGAGTTCCCGCCTCTTCCTCCACACCTCCCCGCAAACAGGGAGCCGGCCTCGCCAGCCCAGAGAGGGGTTCCCACAGTGCAGCGGCAAGCTGAAGGGCTCCTCGAGCGCGGCCAGAGTGGGCGCCGAGGCCGAGGAGGCGCGGAGAGCGAGCGAGGCCTGGCACCACGCTGTCACCTCTCGGCAAGGCGAGATTCCGCGCGGAGGAAAGAGGCGCGCTGTCCGGGGACGGGAGGCTGGCGGCAACCGCTACAGGGTCGTAACAAAACAAGTCCCTAGGGGAACTGAGTGGAATTGCGTCCTTTAGCTCTCCAGAGCTCTCTAAGCTCCTTGAAGGGCCAGAGGCTGAGCCCACCTTGGGACATAATTAGTAAGCCTGACTCAGTGACATGGCCCTGCCAAAAGAAAATATTCCCTGAAGGAACAACCTTCTCTCGCATTCTGGTGCCTAAGGAGGTGCAGCTTGAATGTGAGACTGAATTAGGACAGAACTGAAGGCCCCTTGAGCCACACTGGTATTGAGAGGGTATAAGGGACTGCAGGAAAAAGGGATGTCAGAGAGAAAGAATCCCATTTACAAAAGCGTTACCATGTAGGCAGGGTTTAGCTTTGGGTAATGAATGACTCAGTTCTGTGGCTGGAAAAATACACAAAGAGGATTATTAGAAAAGTTTCTGATTATTTGGTTCATCAAAAGGACATTTCTGCCTACTTCCTAGTTATAGTATGAGTTTATGAAATTTGGGATCATAGAAGAAAGTAAAAATTCTATTAGAGAACAGACACAAGGGCTGACAGTTCTTTGTGACACCTCAGAAACTGTTATTCCAAAATCCTATTTGCAATCAGTTGGGTTACAGCCTCCTGAGATTCACCCTCCTGATTCTGGCCCTGAGCTAGGTTTGTCCAGAGATTAATAAGTTTGTGATCTTTCTGTCCTTCAGCCTTGGTTTAACTGGAATAATAAGTGAGATGAGGAAATGACTAATAGAGCTCATCTTGAGTGTATGTTTTTTTAAAAAACCCATTCTTCCAGTGGGCTGGAAGGGGTAGTGGGAAACATTCAACAACATCTGCCCACACCAGGCCTGCCTCAACTTAATCCTTTCTCAGCTACTCTTCCCAGGTAGAGCCATCATTAATCTGATTGGTCATGTTCTAGGACATCAACAAGGTCTTGATATCTGGTGGAAAGTTTAAGACTTTGTCTTGCTTTTCCTCTCCTCTGGGCCCAAAGAGCATGAGACAGCTAAACTTGGATCTTCTCTGTAGACCCAGCCATGTTGCTTCCTGCTTTTTCTCAACTTATTTCCTCCATGTAGCTGGCCAGCAGTTGACACAAGCCTAAGACTTAGGACAAAGTTAAAGGCACCACTGGAGGTTAAATCTAGGCTACATGCTCCAACAGAGATCTGAACTTCTGCAAGAGATTTGAACTTCTCCATGGGTGATTATTTGATTATCTGAGCACTCACTTAGCTCTTTATAAATTAGTAGTTCCATTTAGTTTAACAAAGTTTTTGAGATCATGGGCTCAGGAACTAGATGACTTGGTTTCAAATCCTACCACCTACCTGCTATGTGACTTTTTCTGTCTCATATTCCTCATCTCTAAGATAGAAATAGTAATTTCTGAGTCATAAATTTGCTGCAAGGATGTGGTACAATGGGCCTTGCAATAAATTCTACAACATCACATAGTATGAACGAAGGAATGGGAATAAGATTTACTGGGGAAACTTAGAAAGCAAGAGTCAGGCACAAGAGGCATAGAGTTCTCAATCCTCTCATAATCCCATGGAGAGGTGAACCAGGGGCAAGAACAAGCCATTTCACATGCAATAGGTTGGGGCTCTGGTCCTGACCCAATTATTCTATCTTGTCAAGGATAAACTTGAACACCACTTTTCAGTAAGACAACAAGCAGACTACTTGATTGCCGGGCAGTCTGGGTTTAGATGCTAGCAGAGCTGAGGAAGCATCTGAGGACCAGATGCCCAACACCTGGAGACCATGCATCCTATGGACAGTTGCAGCCCCTTCGTGTTAGAAAGTGTAAGCAGCTGGTCTCATGCAAAGCTATACGTAGGTGCAGCCCCTCTTTCCAAGAGGAACGGGAAACTCCAGTTGTAGCTAGCACATTTCCTGGGCAATCTAGAGTGAGATCCCAGGATCATTTCTGAATAGTTCTGCTTATTGCCCCATAGAATATTAAGTAAAATGTAGCACACAATATCTTTAGTACAGTATTAATAAGTACTCAATAAATATTAGCTATTATAGTTAGTCCCATTTGGCTATCGCTCCTTTTGTTCAACTTCCTTAGGAACATGATATGAGTAGAGTGTCAGAAGTGATTGACAGGGATAAACTTAGTCATTTCTGGGTTCTTTAGCAAAAATAATAATCTAAAACCACCTCAAACCTCACCCTAACTCTTTTAACAGAGACTTATAATCACATCAACATCTACATTAGCCCACAGCTTTAAAACTCATGTGTATCTTTGTTTCCAAACCGCTTTCTAACTGGTCTCCCCAATTCCAGTTTCTCTACTATCTAGTTTGAATTTCACGGTTGTCAGTGTTTTCTTCCTGAAATATATTATCATATAATTAAAAAGTTTTGCTAATTATTATGTTGGCAAAGCTGGGGAAAAACAGGCTGCCATTTCTGTGTAATATAGAATAAGGTAGGACCAGTAGATCCCATGATCATGTGCCCTTTGTAACACATCCTTCACAGTAAAGTGAGTCCCTTGGTCTGAGATGTAAGGCAAGGTTCCATGTCAGTACATCAGACATTGTGAGTCCTTGGGTAGTATTAGCAGGGGCATTGGAGACAGGGAAGCAAAATTATACCTGGAATACATACAAATCCCTATAAGGATGAGTCTCTGCCCACTGCAAGGTATTAATAGAAAGGGTTCAAAGTGATCAATCTGCCACCAAATGGCTGCTTAATCTTCTCAAGAGATCATACCATGTTGAGGGTTCAATGACAGTGCTAACTGTCCTTTTCTGTCTAATAAAATGAAAAGGATCCCAATCCTTACAGAACATAAAAAGAAAATATATGTGTTAGGCCGGGGTTTCCCACCCTCAACTTACCAGCTGTGACACTGTTGGCAAGTTTATTATCTTCTCCAGGCCTATCTAAAAATTGGGATAATGATAATACTTACCCCATTGGATTGTTTGAGAATTAAATGAGTTAGCACACATAAAGCATTTAAAACGACACCTGACCCAGAATAAGCGCGCTCTATTCAAATGTTTGCCAAATATATTTTTTAATGTTTAATATTAAAGGATGGCTTAAAGGAGGAGAGCAAATGGACGAGAGAAAAACAGCCGAGAAGAGGTTAAAAATAAGATGCCTCTGCTGGCGGGACCCTCCCTACCCACCTCCCCGCCCCGCCCCGCCCCAGAGTTCCCGCAAAGGGGCTTCCCCGCTCGGACTCGACGCCGCCACGCAGACCTGCCCCGCGGCCTCAGCTTCCCGGCTGTGTGGCCCAAGTATAGCCCGAAGCCCTCCGTCCCCTTTCTCCCCAGGCGAGGTCGAAGGAACCACGACCCCATTCGCGGCTAGGAAACAAGAAACCGAACGCTTTTCCATTCCGCAGTCTCCATGGTAACGCGTGCTTCGCTTTTCTAGCACCCGCGGAAGACTCTTCTCTTTGGTCCAGCCCTGCAGACACCGGGAAGCTGTGCTGTCTGAATCAGCTTGGCCAGTGTTGCACTGTTACCATTTGGGAGGAACAGATTAGCTTGAATATGAAATTTATCCTCTTCAGTATACAAAGAGAAAAACAAAGAAAATGAAAGCACGAGTCAATTAGAATTACTTGAATATAAGCTCCACGGGGCAGAGATCTTTAACCGTTTTGTACATTCATGTTATTCCAAGCTCTTAGTACAGTTGCTTTTAGAAATATTTGTTGAAGAATGAATTGAAATGAGTCTGAACAAAATGGACGCAAAGCAGCTTTGACTGATCTATCACCATTTGACTGTTCTCAGTAGCTTTATTTTAAAAAGAACCATAAGTCACATACATTTAAATGTGCTATAACTTTTAGGATCATGAGGGCCAACAAGCATACGTTATAAG
This sequence comes from Homo sapiens, assembly GCF_000001405.40. Taxonomy (NCBI): domain Eukaryota; kingdom Metazoa; phylum Chordata; class Mammalia; order Primates; family Hominidae; genus Homo; species Homo sapiens. The sequence continues at coordinate 276,624 of NT_167245.2, read as the reverse complement.
TAATGTATTCTGTATTTTCAAGAATATATTTCCAATATATGGTATTTTTCTATAATATATTTTTATCATGTTATGTTTCAATATAATGATTATGAGCAGAACCTTGAACAGAAAATTGTTCCATCTATGTAAGTAATAAGGTTAAACACAAAAGATATATTTAAAAGTTTGGGGAAGTAATAAATACTTTTTTTACTAGATTTTATCTTTTAGAGCAGTTTTAGGTTCACAGCAAAATTGAGCTGAAAGTACAGAGATGTCCCATACTCCTTGCTCCACACATGTGTAGCTCTCTCACTCTCAGCATCCCCAACCGGAGGGGTGAACCTACATTGACAATCACCTGGAGTCCGGACAAATGTATAGTGGCATGTATCCACCATTACATAATCATACGTAGTATTTTCACTGCCCTAAAAATACCCTTTGTGCTCGGCCTGGTCATCCTTCTCCACTTCCAACCCCTGACAACCACTGAACTTTTTTTTCTTTGGTTAAGATGCTACATATATGATCTTTTTACTGTCTCCATAGTTTTGCCTTTTCCAGAATGTCATATAGTTGAAATCATACAGAATGTAACCTTTTCAAATTGGCTTCTTTCACTTAATAATATGCATTTAAGTTTCCTCTATGTACCATAGTAAATACTTTTTAGATTGTTCTTTCCCATATTAGAATATAAACTTTCTACCAAAAATTATGGGAAATTACCCTTTTAGAAGGGAAAATTCCAAGAAAACAATTATTTCAAAAAGATTGCCAATATTTTTTAAATGAAATATCAAAGACAAAAAAAATACTTGCTAGCAAGTTCTGAGTTGAACTGAAAAACAATCAGGTTAATTAAAAAGATTATTGGAAGGAAAATGGGAAGACCTGTCTATGGCAGTTAAAATGGATGAGCTAGAGCCACATTTTTCATGAAGGATAAATCTCAAAACTACATGTAAAGTTGAGTACAAATTACATAGTAACCCCTATAATGTATTCTTGCCAAAAATATTGAACCAAAATGAAATCAAGTATTTAGAGCTCAAAGGATATGTACAAACTGAAACTATTTGTATAAAATTTGTAAAACATGTAAATTATACTATATAATATTTGTGGCTACCCACGTATGTACTAAAAATATGTGAACATGCATGGGAATAATAACATCAAAATCAAGATAGTAGTTAACCTGGGAAGGAAGGGGGAAGGAATTGGTGAGGAGTAGACATGGTGATTTAATTGTGTATATAATCTTTTATGTCTTAAGCTAGATGTTGAGTGTTCTTTATATTACTCTTTAGTATGCCTGAAATATTTGCTATTTTTTTCAAAAGCCCCAGGAAATGAATTTTGTAATTTTGACAGATGGCAGAAGGGCCATAAAATTACTTAACATTATCAGGCTTTCATATCTCCATCAAGTGTCGTGACCTTCAAGTTGAGAATGATAGGACAAACATTTACATAAGGAAGGTAGTTAAACAGTAACTACAAGTTTTCATGCCCAGCTTAAAGCATACTAAAGTTCAGGAGGATTGGCCACAGGACCCCTGAAGCCCATTTTTGAGTAGTGCAACAAATGCCCAAGTCTGACAAATATCCAAATTTTCAAAAAGTAAGAAGGTGAACTGTGGAATTAACAGGGTGAAAAATTTGACATGGATCCCTGGTAAAATTCCAGTATTAATTATTTTAGGAGATGTTTTATGAGCGATTGTGGTTAGCCTAGAGGAAATAATGTAAATAAATGTCTCTTAATCCAACTAGATTATTAAAGTATATGCTAACAGTCTACTGTGGAAGTATCTTTATAACAGCAAAGGGTATAGCAGTCTTTCATGAATGTATTGCACAAAAATATGTGAACTGGACATTATTACTATTAAGTAGATTAATATTGGGAAGAAAGACTGTACCCAGTCAGCCTGGAAGGTAGATGACCACGCATAGCATCTCTCCTGTAGCTCCTTGCACAGTGCCTTTGCACAGTATTCACTAAAGTCCTTTACAAAATTATAGACTTAGTATCCTTAGGGATCATTCTACTTAAAATGCCAATTTCCATTAGATGAGAATAAAATTTTATAAAATTGGGGGATTGAAGAAATTATTTTTGTATAATGATTTTTATTCAGCAAGCAATATGGCCAGGCATTTTCATATACAATATATGTATATTAACCCTCTCACAATGAATTTGTGCATAAGGGATTTGTTTTCACTATTTTACAGATGCAGCAATTAAGACACAGAGAAATTAAGTAACTTGCTCACAGTATCATAGCTAACAAGTTGCAGAATCAGGAACAAGATCTTCTCAATATAAAGTTTCTGCACTTCCCATAATACCACTTTATTGCTACTGTGCCAAGTATTTTCTTACCTCCTTTGTCTTTGAATAAATAGAAGACCCGACTGGGCTGGAAAGGCTGCATTTATATCCAAAGTAGTCTAGGTATGAGATCCAAGAGTCTGAAATCATTAGATTCTCTTCTAATTTTATCCTCTTTTGTACAAACAAGTTTTTAATCTCTTGGGCCTCAATTTTCTCAAGTATAAAATGAAGAAAGTATACCTCATTACCATTATAGTATCTTCCAGGTTTGCAGTTATTCTCATCATGAAATTTGATGCCAGGCAATGTGTTAAGTGATTTCCACGTATTAACTAATTTATCCTTATAACGGCTCTGAAATTTAGGTATTTACACTGGACCCATTTTGCAGATAGACAAACTAGGGTGGGTCTAAGGTATGATACACACACATTGTGAGTGGGGTAGCCAGGATTTAATCTCATAATTAAGCAAATTTTATTTCATTTTGATACATTTTTAAAACAGCTAACCATGACTATTCACAAAGGTATGCAATCCTTGCCCCCACTGAAAGCACCAGAACACCTTGGAAAAATGGCTGATTCCAGGTCTGAGGCAGGAAATGTATGACATGTGTCTGAAACATTTATCTTGCCATAAAGGAAAAAAGCAAAGACGCTTAGAGTTGGATGAAAAGGACACAGGAGATAAAATAAAGGGACTCCCACTGACCAAAGATGAAATAATTTGAACATTAAAAAGAATAACTACTGCAATTGATTGAGACTCATTGAATGTATTTTTTTAAATCCATGTGTTCATATTGATATGCAAAAAGAGAAAACAAAATTTTGCATTAGTTATCAACTGATGCAGAACACTTGATGTTGTGCACAAAAAGAGAAAACAAAATTTTGCATTAGTTGCACAAAAAGATTTTACATTAGTGCACATTAGATGCACAAAAAGAGAAAACAAAATTTTGCATTAGTTATAAAACTTAGAACCAAACATCTGTTGCAGTTTCCTCCCTCAAAGCCATTCCCCAGCTTCTGAAGACCAGAAATCTGGGAGCAGCTTGGCTGGTGGTCCTGCGTATGTCATAAGGTTGCACCCAAGACATCAACCAGGGCTGCAGTCATCTGAAAGCTTGACTAAGGTAGAAAGATCCACTTCCAAACTCACTCATGTGTCTGCTGGCAGGAGGCTTCAGTTCCTCACCACCTGGGCCTCTCCTTACAACATGGCATTTGGCTTTCCCAAGGGTGTGTGATCTACGAAAGAAAAACAGACCAAAACAGAAGCCGTAGATTATTTTATAACCTAATATTAGAGATAATGTAGCATCGGCCAGGTGCGGTGGCTCATGGCTGTAATCCCAGCACTTTGGGAGGCCAAGGTGGGCAGATCACTTGAGGCCAGGAGTTTAAGACCAGTCAGCCAACATGGCGAAACTCTATCTCTACTAAAATATAAAAATTAGCTGGGCATGCTGATGCATGCCTATAGTCCCAGCTACTTGGGAAACCGAGGCAGGAGACTCACTTGAACCCGGGAGGTGGCGATTTCAGTGAGCCAAGATCGCGCCACTGCACTCCAGCCTGGGCAACAGAGCAAGACTCTGTCTCAAAAAACAAAACAAACAAACAAACAAACAAACAAAACATAGCATCACTTTTACCAGATCATTCAGTCACACAAACCAACCCTGGTACAATGTGGAAGGGGGCTACACAAGGATGTGAATGCTGGACAGTAGGGCCCAGCTAGCCATTTTATAGGATGGCTATCACATTTTGTAAGGTGGTTACCATTGATGGCACCTAAGGCACAACTGCTTTTTCTGAAAATTGGCAATTATGTTGAAAATTAAACAGTCTTTCTTTCCTGTACAAACTACATTTCAGGATAACCAAATAGCCCTAAATTGCTAAATTGATGAAGGAAAGTTTTTCTTTATAGAGGAGTTCTAACTAATAAATGTGAAAAAATTATTGAATTAGAAAAATTACAATTTTACAAACTCTAATGAAATGGGGTGGCTGAATCTATCAGATTAAAAGCCAGTGGGAAAGTTTACATGGAAGGATTCAGCTATCAAGTATTAAACCCACTGGTCAATCTTAGCATCAAAAACATTATATGCTTCCTGATGTGTGGCAAAAAGTACATAGCACCACCTAAGGATTCTTACTAACAAAGTTAAACCTAACTCTAATCAAACCTTTAGAGGTAACATCAAGTTTTACAGGAAATATGAGGCTGGAGAAACTAATAAAATGGGGACACAAATAGACAAAGCCAGCATGTAGAACATTCAGGACAAATGTCCCAATTTGTTCAATTAGTTGACTATATGAGGGGAAGACGAAGAGGAGGATGGAAGGAGGAACTAGTTCAGATGTGAATTTTAAAAGAATTAAGACACATGCCCAAATTAAATACTGGAACTTTAGATCTTGAATGAAATAGAAAACAAATGTAAGAAGCATATGTATATATTTAGGGAAATATAATATGGACTTGGTATTAGATGATAACCAGGAATTATTTTGTTAAATGGGATAATGGTATTGTGATTCTGTAGGAAAATATCCTTTTTAAAATAAATGCATAATGAAGTTGAAAGTAAGATATTTGGGGTTTGCTTTAAAACGTTTCAGCAAGAAAAAATGGAGATGGATGAAACAAGTGTGGCAGAATTTTATGTATTTTTAAATGTAAATGATGGGTATATATGGGTTAATTATACTCTTCTTTCGACTTCTGCATAGGCTTAAAATAGTCTTTACTTTTGAAAAAGACATTCAATTATTTGTGTTCTTAGTTAATATTTAAAAGTAACTTTTTCATATATTTGTCACAAAACTTCTGTCCATTCCTATCTAGAGGTTCCTCTACATGGGAAAAAAGGAGCAAAAGGGTAATATTTCTGCAACCCCTTTGCACAGGCCATAAACGCACGCAAACTCCTAGAAGGCTGAGCCGCGAGGAGGAGGGCGGAGAGTTTAAGGGAACGCCTAGACCAGAGAGTTGACGCCTTTCCTAGAAAATCACCGGAAATGATAATTGGCGGACTAGGAAGTGGAGCTTCTGTATATTTCTGTTTCTCATTTCTTGGGGAGAGTACCGGCGGGAAGGTCTGTGCCTTGGGCCGTCGTGGGTCGGAATTTGCAGCTGAGAGGAGAGGAGTCCGGTGCCGCCGTCGCCCCCCTCACCTAAATACCCGGGCCCCTGGGGTTGCAGGCAGGGGCGGGTCTTTGGGGCCAGATTTGAGGAGGGAGTCGGCTGCGGTTTCCTCCCTCGAAGCCATTCCCCAAAATGAGCATTTCCCGCCCATTTGCCCTACCTCCTCCCAGGGGCTCGTGACCCATTTTTTTTTTTTTTTTTTGAGACCGGAGTCTTGCTCTTGTCGCCTCCTGACCCATTCTTTTTATTCTTCTCTACAGCATCCATTCATATATTCATTCAGTCAGCTAATTTTTAATCCAGCACATACTATTGCAAGCGCTGTTTTAGGCGTTGAGAATACAACTGTGAACAAGACGACAAAAATTCCTGCCCTCATGGAGCCTAAGAGCCTAGATTTTAGCGAAGGTAGAACCACCGTAAACAATGTATATATTAATAAGTAACTTATGCACCATACTGGAAAATTATAAAGTGCTATAGAGGAAAAGAAGAATTCATGTAAAGCAAGGTAAGGCCCATCAGGATTGGAAGGAGGGGATAGGCTGCAATTTTAAATAAGGCACTCAGAGTAGACCTCCTTGGGAAGATGACCTATAAGAAAACACTTGAAGGAGGCAAGATTATTAGCCATGGAGATCGCTTAAGGTGAAGGGAGCAGCCAATGGAAAGGCCCTAAGATGAAAGAGAAGGAAGGTCGGTATGGCTGAAGATTGAGGGAGTGGGAGAAGAGTAGAAGGTGTTGAGAATGACACATCCTGTAGACTTGTATGCCACTCTTAAGACTTCAGCTCTTATTTTGGGTGAGCAGGAGAGGAAGTTAGAAGTCACGGGCACATTCAGTAGGGCCTTGTATACCTCGGTAAGGACTTCAGGTTTTATTTTAAGTATGAACCACTGGAGAGTTTTCAGCAGAGCGATGAAATGATCCAACTCAAGTTGTAAACGGACTACTCAGACTGCCCTATTAAGAAAGGAGGTGGAGCTTGCAGTGAGCCGAGATTGCGCCACTGCACTCCCGCCTGGGCCACAGAGCGAGACTCCGTCTCAAAAAAAAAAAAAAAAAAAAAAAAAAAGAAAGGAGGAAGGCAAGGATTGAAGAAAGGAGACCAGTTAGAAGACTACCGCAGTAATGGAAAGGAGGGGAGATAGCAGGTGATGGTGGCTCAGACAAGGGTGGTAGCCGTTGAGATTGTATTCTGGATATGTTCACATTTTCAGTTTGACTTCGTGCCTCAGGTTCTCAGTGACTCCCTATTTTTTCCTGTGGTCACATTCCTCTTTTCCCTTCACCAAATATGCAGGGAAACAAGATGTGAGATCACAGCGGTTTAGTGTTGCTAATGAACCCCAAATCCAGGGCAGTGTTTGACACATTAAGCCAAACAGTAGCGGCACTGTGGGTCAAGAAGGGCCCTTTGGCTGGCACCACCAAAACATGTGTTCTCCAAAGGAGGCTGGCATCAACTGGAGCCACTTCACAGCTTGTTTGAGAACTGGATCTGACCAGTAGGAAGAAACCAGGACAGCAGTGGAAGACTGTTAAAGAAACCTGAGTAAAAAGATGCAGGAGGTAAGAAGAGGAGGGTCTGTGATACATCACAAGGAGGAAGAAGGAGAAGTGAGTCCAAGAAAGAAGGAAAGCAGTGTGAGTGGAGGTGTGTCTGACTCTAGATACTGTTGGAGGTGTCTCCTCCTAGATACTGTTTTTGCTGCTTGACCTGGTGATCATTAAAGCTTTGTAGTTGTAGATGCCATTTCTAGTTTTCATAAGGTATTAGGAACTGAGTCCATTATTTTCTCCCTTCTTTTGGTATTTCTGGGAGACAGTTTCTGTGGATAGACCTGTATGGTTGCTTGCATCTTCCTATGTATTTTTCTCACCTTCATAACTTTCCTGAATTCATTCTGTGTCTTGCAATAGGTTGTGCTGTTGGATGAGAGTTCAGGACCACCAAGCCAGCTGCTTTGGACCCGCCAGGATACCCAGCTCCCTCAGGAAAGCGGTGAGATACACAGGAGATTGTGGCAGGAGTCACGGCAGCTGAGAATGTAGTAAGGACACAGAGTGGGTGGAAAATGCCACACTGGGGCCCAAAAATCTGTTCATTAATGAGCATTTATAGAAAGTCTTATTTTGTTTCTATACGAGGCTTGGATCAATATCTAGAGGAACTAAATATTCAGTTTCTGTCAGTATCTTAAATTTTGAAAAAAATCAGTGTGTAAAAGATTCTACAAAGCAATTTATCAGAAAGAATCAATGCAGTCAGGCATTTACTGTTTGTATAACCTGAGATATATGGTAAATAGCGTACATATTTGCACATATTTTACACTTATAAAACTTGTGGTATAATTCAGTAATTCCTACCCAAACATAATTTTGCCAACATGTAAAATTTGAATATATACAATTTTACTTCTGCAGACCTTTCTGGAGCCCTGATACTTTTAAATGATGTATAGATATCTCCAAAATATAAAATAAAGCAGTGACAAAAGAAGAAGCAAAAGTTTTCCCATTGAAGCCTTGTGCTCTTTGGTGGCGTATGTGAGGAGGAAAAGTGGTTAAGATTTGTATAAAAGCTGATGGTAGGCCGGGTGCGGTGACTTATGCCTGTAATCCTAGCACTTTGGGAGGCCTAAGTGGGTGGATCACTAGAGGTCAGGAGTTCATGACCAGCCTGGCCAATATGGTGAAACCCCATCTCTACTAAAAATACAAAAATTAGCCAGGTGTGGTGTAATGCACCTGTAACCCCAGTTACTCAGGAGGCTGAGGCAGAAGAATTGCTTGAACCCAGGAGGTGGAGGTTGCAGTGAGCTGAGATCATGCCACTGCACTCCAGCCTGGGCAACAGAGTGAGACTCTGTCTAAAAAAAAAAAAAAAAAAATTGCTGTTGGAGGTGCAACCTAGGAGATAGTATATAGCAATTCAGGAGTCATAAAATCAAACCCAGAAAGGCATAGACTTTTGGACAGAGGAGTAGGCACATTCAAAAGTAAGCTTTTTAGTATATGCTACCTGCAAAAAATAAAAATAAAATGTGTTTCTAGATATAGTGTTGAAACATCTAGAGGAGGAATCCTGAGATATCTGCTGTACAAGGGATCACAAATGAGAATTAATAATATAGAACATAAATTTTTTATAGATTTAGAAATAAAAAATAATAGCTATTGCTAAACTCGGATGCACGAGTCTCCCAGTCTTCTTTTTCTCAAATGGTCGTGAAATCTGCTGTGGTGGATTTTCAGGGTCAGAAATTCTGTAGCCACCTATCATATAATACAATACAAATGTATTAATCTTATCCCACAAGATATCTGTATACTGCTTTAACAAAAAGTTTTATGTTGTTTTTTCATGTAGCCTGTTTCCTAAATTCATTTTTAACTTAAGAGGAATAACCTTTCAATTTCTAAAGCTAAAGCTAAAAAATAAAGCTTATGAATCACTATGAGTGACAGACTTTCCCAGTTGTGAAGAAGATATGGTAAAAACCAGTAGGGAATGAGTTACATAGGGGTATGCTTTTGTCAAAGTTTCTCTAAGGGTACATTTAAGACATGTGCATTTCATTATATGTAAATTTTACCTCGAAAAAGAAGGTAAACAAATGTTGAACTTCCAGTTAATGATATACATGTTAAACTGTTTAGGGGTGAGGTGTACTGATGCTTTCAACTTACTTTGAAATGATTCAAAAAATAAAATACATTAATGAACAGAGAGAGGAATAGATAAATGGATAAGTATGTGATAAAGCAAATATTGCAGAACGTAAATTGTGGAATGTAAGTGATTGGTATATGGATATTTACTATATAATTTTTTCAACTTTTCTATATACTTGAAAATATTCATAATAAAATAATGGTTGAAAACATCCAATTGAGAGCTTTAAGTGTGTTAATGTTATAAGGAAAAGAACTGTTATGTAACATTAACAAGGCACAAACATGTGTCTGCTGTGAGTTGTGTGCCATCCAGATGAGTTTAGACTTTTTGAGACAGTTATAAAGGAGCTCGGAGCTTTTAGAGTGAGACAGTGGAAAAACTGTATGGAACCACCATGACTGAGATGCAGCCTTGGTCTTGGTCAAAAGCTATAAGTAGCTGAAACTAAAGAAGAGTCTTCTTGGGCAATTTCAGTGAAAAGAAATCAGCTTGGTTCTAAATCGGTTTTTCGTAAAAATGGAATGATAGTCTTGGAGGTCTAAATCCAAAGGGTGATTATAAAATCTTACCAATAGATTACTTTGACCCTGCTGGTGTCTTAAAAGCAGACAGCAATTATTCAGATTTGGACTTGGCGATGTGTTGATAAACTATCAAGAAAAATAAGGCACCTTAAACATTGAAGCTACAGAAAGATTGAGCTGGCCTGCAAGGAATAAAGTCAGGCCCTATTAATTAGTAATATGAACTACTTCTCAGCTGGGCGTGGTGGCTCATGCCTGTAATCCCAGCACTTTGGGAGGCCGAGGCGGGTGGATCATGATGTCAGGAGATGGAGACCATCCTGGCTAACATGGTGAAACCCCATCTCTACTAAAAATACAAAAAATTAGCCAGGCATGGTGGTGGGCACCTGTAGTCCCAGCTACTTGGGAGGCTGAGGCAGGAGAATGGTGTGAACCCAGGAGGTAGAGCTTGCAGTGAGGCAAGATCACGCCACTGCACTCCAGCCTGGGAGACAGAGCGAGACTCTTAAGTCTCAAAAAAAAAAAAAGAAACTACTTCTCACCCAATCATATGGATTATACCTGAACACTTGGACACTCTTTATAAAGTTTCTTTTGCATTTTAAAATGCTCTGTGTGCTATACTATATTGACATAGGGAGGATAACTCAGTACTAGGGAATTAGTAGGAAAAATGTGCAAAATCGGGAAGAATGATTCTTCTCTAAGAGGAATAAGGAAAAAAATTTGTAACTAACTGGAGGTAGACCAGCCATTAAGTTACCTGAAAAAATAAGCTTTGGTCCTATCCCTGGATGCTTCTGTTCAACACATATGCACACACACACATACGCGTGCATGCACACACTCTTTTTCACCCTCCTTCTACCCCAAGTATTTTGGAAGAAATGACTTCAGTATTCAAATACAGGAAGAAGGTCTATTCAAAACCAGGGAATAAGTGATTTGGGCCTTTTTACCAGATCTGTTTGGGGAGGGGGAAAGTTTATTCCAGGACAAAGACCACAGGAAAACAGTAGGTGAGACAGGAAAAGAGTGCATTTCCAAGAGCTGCCTTGGCTGCTGTGCCAGGGCCTGATGCCCAACACTGGAAGTTGAGACTAGAAAAATAATGAAGAGGAAGGATACTGTAAGGCAGTAGCCTAAAGCCCTAGGTTAGAGCTGCAGAAGCTTCTACATTTGAGGAAGAGAAGACGAATGCAGGAGATTTCATTAATACTGTGCTATATTGACTCTTGGCTTACTTATCTTCCCTCAGCTCTATTACCTGCTCCATATCCTGCCTTCACTAAAGATGGAAGCCAAGGAAACCTGCCGCAAGCAGATATCACACTAATGAGCCAGGCCCAAGTGAGCTGAGGCCCCTTTCCTCCTCCTTGAAAATACATCACTACCTCCAAAATATGGCCTTGTTTTCACTGCGTTCTCTGGCTGTGCAACTCCTAAATCAATGTTCTCCCTCTCATAAGGAACATTTTGTTGCATGATAAACCACTTGTGGGTTGTTTTCTCTTTCATTATTTTTTGCTATCAAAACCCCATGCTCCCTTTCATCTCATTTGTACATACCCACCAAAAGGGAAGAGCCTTTCACTTCTATAAACCTCCTCCTTGCAAATTCCTTTCTTCTGCCTCTGTTTCCTGAGGAAACTATGGCGTTTTCTCCAGGATAGCAGGAGCATATTATTTCAGGAGTCAGTGACATTTGAGGATGTAGCTGTGAACTTCACTAACAGGGAGTGGCAGTGTCTGACCTACGCTCAAAGGCATCTCTATAAGGATGTGATGTTGGAAAATTATGGGAACATGGTATCACTTGGTAAGGACCTTCCCTACACTTAATGCTTTCTACCTTCTTTTTTTATTATTTAATTGATTTATTTATTGATGTATATAAGGTCTCATATTGAAAGAGTCCTTATTCTTTATCATCAGGATCTTGCCCAAAAATTAAGAGTTTTGAGTTGCCTCTATTACATAGCAAGATAATTTTTTGGCTAACCTAGTTGCTGTTTTCTGATTTGGAATGAGTTAAAAGGAGACATTTACCTTCTGTTTTCCCTGGGTTCTTGCTTCCTCAAGCCTCTCATTTTTTTATGGGGTGTTCTATATTCCGCTCCTAGTCAAGAACTGCCTTCTATGTGCCTGAAACTGATAGTCTTCCTATACCAGACTCCCATTCTCCTAAAGTAAAACAAAATAAAATTAAAAAAAAAAAAAACAGGAGAGCACACCCAAATGACTGTTTCCCAGAACTTCTCTTTCCTTCTGAGTGTGACTTTTCTGAGAAAGTCCCCAAACATGTTCTTTTACATGTTACTAGACCCCTGAAAAACCCTTTTCTCTATCTAAATTAACATTTCTTTCCTGTTTTCATATACAAACAGAAGGATCAGGGCTGCTTAGCTAAGTTATAAGTTATTAAGTTATAAGTTACTCTACACACTTATTTCTTCTCTGCAACCAGGATTTCCATTTCCTAAACCTCCTTTAATCTCTCATCTGGAGCGAGAAGTAGACCCCTGTGTGCAGGATCCACAGGACAGGGAGTCCCTAAGCTGCTCCTACCCAGGTGAGTAATAGAGAAACTTTCAGTTCCCTCTGATCTTCCATGTGGCATAATGGTTATGGAACATTCTCAGTGGTGGATCATCCAGTCGAAGGGCCCAGAAAGGAAACCCATTTAGGAAACTTAAGGAAAAGAAAATTGAAACAGTGACAAACTATTTGGGCAATTATTCTGTTATTATCTAATTGGTTCTTTGCAACCTATCTAATAGATTTTTGCAATTTGGCCCTCAAAAAAGGCTCAGAGGCTGGGCACAGTAGCTCATGCCTGTAATCCCAGCAATTTGGGAGGCCAAGATGGGCAGATCACCTGAGGTCGGGAGTTTGAGACCAGCCTGGCCAGTATGGTGAAACCCCATCTCTACTAAAAATACAAAAATTAGCTGGGTGTGGTGGTGCATGCTGGGTGTGGTGGTGCATGCTGGGTGTAATCCCAGCTGCTTGGGAGGTCTGAGGCCGGAGAATCATTTGAACCCAGGAGACAGAGGTTGCAGTGAGCTGAGATCACACCACTGCACTCCAACCCGGGGGACACAGTGAGACTCCACCTCAAAAAAAAAAAAAAAATCTCAGAATATTTATTACCCTTCTGTGTGTCAGTTACTGCAGTGCTCATAAATTGAGACAGGTGAGAGTCATTCTAGGCAGAAGGAATAACATGTGAGAAAGCATTGAGGAATAAAATAATATGAACTATGAATTGTTCAGTGTGAGTAGAGCAGGGGACTTAGAATAGCTTTGGGGAGGTTCATAAGTAGTAGAAAGGGGCAAGATCATGATATGACGTCTGTTTTTTGGGAGTTTTCTTAAGGAATTTAAACTACAAAACTTGAACTTACAATAACAGCTAATATTGATTAAAGTACTTCAGTGTGGCATGTGCTTTACATACATTAACTCATTTAGATAAAGCAACTGAGGCAAAGGAGAAGTGAAGTCATCCTCCCAAGTTCACACAGGTATTAAGATTTATTAACTGTCATACTAGGATTTGAACCCAGGCAGTCTCACTCTAGAGCCAGGACTCTTGACCGTATGCTTTACTTTCTTCCTGTCTGGTTAACTATGGAGTGCCATTGAAGTATTTTAAGCTAAAAAGTGACATGATTAGACTTGATTTTCAGAGAGAATAATCTGGAAGCAGTGCAGAGGATGGATTAGAAGGGATTCAGGGTAAAGGATGTTTGAGGGATATAGCAATTAGTGAGAATGCACTGGCAGTGGAAATAAAGAGGAAGAGATAGAGTTCAGAGATAATATTAATAAGATGTATTTGGAGTCTTTGGTTGACAGCAATAGAAATTAACCCAAGCTAGCTTAAGCAGAAAAACATGAATTTATTTATTATTCAGGATGTGTCATGGGACCTAAGGGCAGCTATGTGTCAGGCCCTAGAAGAGACTCAAAACCATCAGGTTTCCAACTGTATTCCCTGCTTCTTTGTGAGTCAGCTTCATTCTTCTTTCTAGGCAAATTGACCTTCTCTTCTTCTCGGACCAGATGGCAGAACATTCCCTCCTCTGTACCAAATACCATCCCACCACCACTAGTTCTCAAATTTAAGTGCTAAAGACTGAGCTACTCTTAGAGCTGGCCTTACCTGCCGTCAGATCACAATTCTAAAGTCCAGGATTAGAGAATCTGACCTGGTTTGGGTCAGGTATTGCACAGATCTAATCTGCCCCAACCAGATGGGCTGAGTCACATAACAGAAATATGGCTCTCCAGGGCCCACCCTTGGGAGCAAAGCAGACAGTTCCTTGAAAAGGGACTGCATCAGCATTTCAGCACCTCCTCTGTAACTCTCTTCACAGGTAGAATTTGTAAAATGTTAGCTGGGTAAATACAAGGGAGACAGAGTTGAAGATTATTTTGTTTTGTGGCTTAGATGACTAGGTGTATAGAGTTTACACTCACTAAACTAGGAGACTATAGAGGAGGAATAGGTTTTTAAGGATTTTTTATAAAGTGTGCTGAGTGTAAAATATCTCAATACTTTTCATTATTTCAGCCTGTTCTGACTTTTGGCCACAACGTTAGTAATTTTTCCAGCATGGAAAAGTTATTTACTCTTCAAACAGCTTAACATTGCTTCACGCCTCCCATCTCACTTATTTCCTTCCCTCTGACATTTGTATTTTCTTGTTTAAGTGTCAGCTGACAAGATGTGGCCTGAGAATGAAAAGGCAAGTTCACAACAAGAGATTTTTGAAAATGGAGAAGCCTACTGGATGAAATTTAACAGTCTCCTAAAAGTTGATTCCCGGGATCCTAAGGTTAGAGAAGTTTGTGTTCAGGATGTCAAATTAGAGAATCAATGGGAAACATCTATAAGGGAGAAACTGAGAGAAGAGAAAGAAGGCTCTGAGGAAGTGACCTGCAAAAAAGGAAAGAACCAGAAAGTGCTTAGTAAAAACTTGAATCCAAACTCAAAACATAGTCAATGTAATAAAGTTCTTATAGCACAGAAACTCCATGAATGTGCCAGGTGTGGCAAAAACTTCAGTTGGCACTCAGATCTAATTCTCCATGAGCAAATTCATTCTGGTGAGAAACCCCATGTGTGTAATGAGTGTGGGAAAGCATTCAAGACCAGAAATCAGCTTTCTATGCACCGGATAATCCACACAGGGGAGAAACCTTTTAATTGCACCCAGTGTGGGAAGGCTTTCAACAGTAGATCAGCTCTTTGCCGACATAAAAAAACCCACAGTGGGGAGAAGCCTCACGAGTGCAGGGACTGTGGGAAGGCCTTCAAGACCAGGAACCGTCTCTGTATGCATCAGCTTATCCACACCGGGGAGAAGCCTTACAAATGTAACTGCTGTGGGAAGGCCTTCCAGTTTAAGCATTCCCTTACCATCCATGGCAGAATCCACACTGGGGAGAAGCCATATGAATGTGAGGAGTGCGGGAAGGCCTTCAGTGGGAGTTCAGACCTCACCAAACACATAAGAATCCACACTGGGGAACGACCTTATGAGTGCAGCAAGTGTGGAAGGGCCTTCAGTCGGAGCTCAGACCTAAGCAAACACAAACGAATCCATACTCGGGAGAAACACTATGGGTGTCCCCAGTGTGGAAAAGACTTCAGCATCAAGGCAGAACTCACCAAACACAGAAGGATCCACACTGAAGAGAAACGTTACAGGTGTGAGGAGTGTGGGAAAGCCTTTCGTCATAACTGTAAGCGCAGGGCTCATGAACGAGAGCATACAGGGGAGAAGCCCTATCAATGCAGGGATTGTGGGAAAACCTTCCAAGATAAGCACTGCCTTACCATCCATCAGAGAATCCACACTGGAGAGAAACCTTACAAATGTTTAGAGTGTGGGAAAGCTTTCAGTGGGAAGTCAAACTTGACCAATCATCGAAGAATTCACACTGGAGAGAAGCCTCACAAATGTGAGGTATGTGGAATGGCCTTCCATCATAGTTCAGTCCTGAGGCAGCACAAAAGAATCCACACTGGTGAGAAGCCATACACCTGCAGTGAGTGTGGCACGTCCTTCCGTCAGGGCTCAGCTCTGATTGGACATAAGCGAGTTCATACTGGGGAGAAACCTTATGAATGTGAGGAATGTGGAAAAGCTTTTAGAGTGAGCTCAAATCTTACTGGACATAAGAAAAGAAAACATCAAGTATGGAGTACCCATGAACTTGATGGGAGTAGGAAATCCCTCTCTCCAGTGACTGTTTCTCAGACCTCAGTAGTCAGTATTTTGACCAGTGCCTGAGTATAACGATTCTGGTGTTACTTTCTGTTTTTCCTACCTCTTAGGCTGGTCCTTCTGTCTCTTATATTAGTTATTCCTGATTTCCTGACCCTTAATTGTGAGATTCCCCAAAGACATTGTCCTTTACCTTCTTATTCACTATTTTTTCAGTGAGCACATTTACTTCCAAGAGTTTATCAATCACTTCCTAATATTAATAAACACTTATTAGTGCTTGCTGTGTTCTAGGCACTGTTCTAAGGGATTTACACATTTAAACTTTTTAAATCCATACAACATCCCTATGAGATCAGGAATTTGAGGCACAGAAAGATTAACAAACTTGCCCAGGATCACGTAACTAGTAAATTCTGTGCTCAGGCTTTCCTAGGCAATTCCCATATGCGTGCACCACATCTTTCCGACATGAAGTTATACCTCAGTTCAGCAGAAAACAGTTTGTAATTTATAAACACCAATCATTTTTAGCAATTTTTTTAACATAAAGCTAGAATGGTACTTCTCCATATTGTATCAGGATTGCTAAGATTCAAAGTGAAAAGGGAGGCAGGGAGAGAACAGGTTTAGAAATCACAGATAAGAGTCAGGCACGGGGGTTCATGCCTGTAATCCCAGCACTTTGGGAGGCTGAGGAGGGAGGATCACGAGGTCAGGAGTTCGAGACCAGCATGGCCAATATGGTGAAACCCTGTCTCTACTAAAAATACAAAAATTAGCCAGGCATGGTGGTGCACGCCTGTAGTCCCAGCTACCCTGGAGGCAGAGGTTGCAGTGAGCCAAGATCGTGTCACTGCACTCCAGCCTGGGCAACACAGCAAGACTCCATCTCAAAAAAAAAAAAAAAAAAAAGAAATTACTAGTCTGACCTCCAGAAGTCTTTTGATGTTTCCTAAACACATAAAATGAATATTTTGAGAGCGTATTTGAATAAATTTTAGATTTTTACCTGGTGAAAAAGATATGTCTTGAAAATTCTGAAGGACTACTTTATGAACAGTGGGTTAATCTTGTTCTGCAACTATCCCAGAATAGAATTACAATCCACAAGTAGAAGCTACAGGACATCTGTACATTTAGGAGATACTCAACTGGAACAGATTCTGCCATAAGGTAATAAGTTTGGTAAGAATAATACTGAAGGAATTCGAAGGTCAGGTGCATAGTTGAATGACAAAACATGTTGCTTGAAACCCTAAGATATCTGTAGTTCTAATTCTGAAGAGTTACCAAACAAGAGTTAGTCTAAGTTATAATTTACATACAAAAATCACCAGGTAAAACTCACTTTTTAAATCGAATTACATTCCACGTGCAAACACAAAATTTTTACCAGAACACTGATATGAGATTATTTTTACCTTCACAAAAGAAATGGAGAATGCCAATTTCATTTAAGTTTAAGAAAGATGATAAGATACTTCTTGGTAAGGATTGTAGCTTGACTACGTGTATTTGGTATTGCTCCCCCTCAGAACTACACTAATGCTACAGTAAAACCATTCATAATCAGGAAGAATGGCAGAAGAGGCAACTACAAAATTTTGGAAACTGAAAAAAGGATAAGTAATAATGACATTGAATTTGAGAAAGCTAAATTTTAGCCTGAAGGGGGCAAGTAAAGGACAAATCTGACCGGGCACCGTGGTTGACACGTGTAATCCCAGCACTTTGGGTGGCTGAGATGGGCAGATCACTTGGGATCAGCAATTTGAGACCAGCCTGGCCAACATGGTGAAACCCTGTCTCTTTATTAAAAATAGAAAAATTGGCTGGGCTTGGTGGTGCGTGCCTGTAGTCCCAGCTACTGGGGAGTGGGAGGCGGAAGTGGCAGTTAGCCGAGATTGCACCACTGCACTCCAGTCTGGGCAACAGAGTGAGACTCCTTCTAAAAAAGAAAAGAAAAAAAAAAAGACATTTATTTTACATCATAGAATCTTTAAGCGACTCAAGAATTGGTGGCACCATGTACCCCTGGAAATGAGAATGAATAGACTAAAACGAGGAGAGTCTGTCAGAGGCTATTTAGGAAGCAAGCAGAGTCCTAGGTCCTCAAGCCCAAAGAAGACTGGAGGTTTATTTTCTGAAGAAGGTTAAACAAAGGATATGTGGGCTAGACACATGGAGGACAGGAATTCCATTTGAAAAAGGAGCATACTGAATGTCAACGCCTCCAGCCTACTTTCCTTATCTCCCAGAAAGATGAGGGTCTGGCTTTCACCTCCCAGACAAAAGACGCAGTTTTCAGTGAGAAATCCAACCAGAATAGACTTGAAGATACATCAGGAGTTTCTCAGCAAGTGGCCTAGCCAGATAACCTGTAGTGAACATCAGCAAGTCATAGTCGTGCCATCAGAGCTTCCCATAGGTTTTATAGTCCTCCTCTATTAAAAAAAATGTATTGGCCGGGCGCAGTGGCTCCTGCCTGTAATCCCAGCACTTTGGGAGGCTGAGGTGGGCAGATCATCTGAGGTCAGGAGTTCAAGACCAGCCTGACCAATATGGAGAAACCCTGTCTCTACTAAAAATGCAAAAATTAGCCAGGCATGGTGGCGCTTGCCCGTAATCCCAGCTACTCAGAGTCTGAGGCAGGAGAATCGCTTGAACCCGGGAGGCAGAGGTTGTGGTGAGCCGAGATTGTGCCATTGCACTCCAGCCTGGGCAATAAGAGCGAAACTCCATCTCAAAAAAATAAATAAATAAAAAATAAAGTTTATTATAGAACATTTCAAACCCATGCAAGAGTTAAGGCAATAGAAAAATGAACTCCATGTACACATCATTCAGCTTCAACAATTATTACGTCAGGGTTAATCTTGTTTCATCTGTATCCCCACCCATTCCCTCTGCTTAAGATTATTTTCAAGCAAATGACAGAAATTGTGTTTCATCCATAAGTATTTAATTGTCTATAGGAGATAATGACTGTTTAAAAAAACTAACAATATGGGCCGGGCACGGTGGCTCACACCTGTAATTCCAGCACTTTTGGGAGGCTGAGGTGGATGGATTGCCTGAGGTCAGGAGTTCAAGACCAGCCTGGCCAACATGGTGAAACCCCGCCTGTACTAAAAATACAAAAATTAGCCAGGCGTGGTGGCAGGCGCCTGTAATCCCAGCTACTCGGGAGGCTGAGGCAGGAGAATTGCTTGAACCCGGGAGGTAGAGGTTGCAGTGAGCCGAGATCGCGCCACTGCACTCCAGCCTGGGCGACAGAGCAAGACTCAGTCTCAAAATAAATAAATAAATAAATAAACAAACAAACAAACTAACTAACAAACTAATAATAGAGCCAGGGGCACGACGGCCTATGCTGTAGTCCCAGCTACTTAAGAGGCTGAAGTGGGAGGACTCCTTGAGCCCTAAAGTTTGAGGTTAGCTTGGGCAATATTGCAAGACCCCATCTCTAAAAAACAAACCAAAAATATAAGTAAACTAACACTAGTACAGTTATCACACCTAAACAAAATTATCTATTTGGCAACATCATCAAAGATTCATTCGCTGTTCAAATTTTTCTCTAATGCCATTTTTTCTTAACATTAAAAAAAACCAAGCCAGGCACCATGGCTCACACCTGTAATCCCAGTACTTTGGGAGGCCAAGGCAAGAAGATCACTTGGGCTCAGGAGTTCAAGACCAGCCTGGGCAACATAGCAAGACCCTGTCTCTACAAAAAATTCAAAAATTAGCCAGGCATGGTGGTGCATGACTGTGGTCCCAGCTACTCGGGAGACGAGCTTGGGAGGTCAAAGCTGCAGTGAGCCGTGATTGTGCCACCACACTCCAGCCTGGGTGACAGAGTGAGACACTGTCTCAGAAAAAAAAAAAAAAAAGTATTCAAATAAGGTCAATACATTGTGATTAGTTGGTATGTATCTTAAGTATTTTAATATATAAGTTCTCCCTATATCTCTTTTTTCTTGAAATTTATTTAATGATTAACTAGGTTGCTGGTGCTGCAGAGTTTCACAGTTTGGATTTTAATTATTGCACACCTTTGGTAGTATTTAACACATTCCTCTGCCCCTGCATGTCCTAAAAATTAATAGTTAGATCTAAGGGCTTTATCAAATTCTATATTTAGATTTGATTTGGGTAAGACTACTTCATAGGTGTCAGCACAAGCCTTTTTTGTTTAACATGACTAAAGTAGTCTTCAGTAGCCTCCTTGCTTTCTGGTGAAAAGATTTTCCAGGTTCATCTGGTATATTTCCTTAGGAAGACTCTTGTTTCTAAAACTAGTACAGGAAAAAAATATAAGATCTGAATAGTCTGATACCAATTATTTAAATAGAACCTATAATATATATTCCCAGAAAGAAAACTCAAGGGTCAGATGTTTTCACCAGTTAATTCTACTAAACATGCAAGGGAAAATAATCCCAATGTTAAACTCATTTTATGAGGCCTGTATAACCTTAATACCAAACCATTAGGGAACGATGAGGAAAAACAAACAACACAAGGAAATTTTTTAAAAAAGAAAATTACAGGCTATTATCATTCATGAATGTAGTGAGAAAAATCTTGAGATAGTAACAAACTGAATCCAGGAATATACATTTTTTAAAAGATTACATGTCTTGAACAAGTTAAGATTATTCTAGCATGGAGAAGTTGGATTAGCATTCAAAAATCAATAAAGGTGGTCAGGCGTGGTGGCTCACACCTGTAATCCCAGCACTTGGGGAGTCCCAGGTGGGAGGATCACTTGAGGTCAGGAGTTTGAGACCAGCCTGGCCAACATGGCAAAACGCCCCTCTCTACTAAAAATACAAAAATTAGCCGGACCTAGTGGCCTGCACCTGTAATCCCAGTTGGGAACAATTCTGTGACAGTCCTTCTTTCTAACATACAATTCATATTATTTTCTTTTTATTCTCTTAAATCTGGAACATCATTCAAAATCTACACATAGAAAGCTATCTCCTTTTTAGTAGAGTTTGCCCCATATTAGGGCAATAACTTATCTAATCCTTGTGAACCCCCATGAGAACCCCACTAAACTCTGAGTTCCGTGGGGCAAGGACGTTCTGTGCTGTTCCCTTCCTTATCCTCTCCATACCCTCCCAAACTTTATGAAGCTGGAAAGAGGAAGAGAAGGAGATGAGGGAAGGCTTCCAAGGAGAAACAACTTCCAAGCTGAGGTCTAGAGAATGAGAGACAGACCAGAAGTATGCAGAGAGAACTGCTCCGAGGAGAGATAGGGCTCCCCCGGCAACCACAGAGATACGGGGTACTGAGAAGCCCACAGAGAAGGTACCTGACTGGGTGTGTCTGGCAGTTGTAAGGTAAGGCAAGGCACTGGCACTTTCCCTAGAGTTGTCTCTTCTCTATACCATATAACTATGGTTCCAAGTGTGAAGTGAGCACACTACAGAGAGGCTGGAGGAAGAACAGCAGCTGATTCCAAACATAAATTAATCCTTCAGGCTGCGTGCGGTGGCCCACGCCTGTAATCCCAGCACTGTGGGAGGCCGAGGAGGGAGGATCACTTGAGGCCAGGAGTTCGAGACCAGCCTGACCAACATGGCGAAACCCCGTCTCTACTAAAAATACAAAAATTAGCCAGGGCGTGGTGGCGCGCACCTGTAATCCCAGCCACTCGGGAGACTGAGGCAGGAGAATGGCTTGAACCGGGGAGGCGGAGGTTACAGTGAGCCGAGATCGTGCCACCTCACTAAGTATGTGCCATTAAGGGTTTTTTTGCTTGTGTCACTCATTGCTGTATCTGAGGCGCCTGGAGTACACTGTCCTCTAAATAATGGGGGAACATTGTTCTGGGGACGGTTATCTCTGGCTCCGTGGTAAACAGAAGTCGAAGAGGAGAATGGGATTGATACGTAAGAACCATTCATACTGAACATTTGGAAAGGGATTCTCCTAAAAACAGTCCCTAGTGAGAATGAAAAGTACTTGGCAGCGGTGGGATTTGAACCCACGCCCCCGAAGAGACTGGAGCCTTAATCCAGCGCCTTAGACCGCTCGGCCACGCTACCGTTGATTACAACTGTGTTCTTCCGCATTTTCCCTAGTAGAGAATGTCGCCCTCTACTGCGTTTAAGGTGTGTCTTTTTTCCCATTAGGGAATGTCGCCCCCCCCCCCCACCCCGGGGCGTTTAAGGTGTGCCTTCTCCCCATGACCTCTTCTCTGGAGCTCCCTCCAGCGCCATCAGAGAACTTCAGGCAGCTGTTCAGCCGCCACACACCCCGAACCCCCAACACGTTGCTTTCGCACTGATGGGAGCAGTGAGGAAGGAAACCGGCGGATCCTAGACGCCCTTCCCTTGCGTCACCGATGTAAGAGGAAGCGGCCACGCGGACGGAGACCCCCAGGGGACGCTGTGGTTCGCAGGTTCGCTGTGGAAGGTGACGCCTGGCTGGAGCCCCGACGCCGCTGAGCGAGTTTCAAGTGGTTTTGGCCGACGGAACTCTACGAAAAAACGGGGCGCCGTGCGAAAGAGCGCAGTCCTTGCTGTTTATGAAGGTAAAAATTCAGAAGGTGACCCGCGGTCCCCGCAGAAATGCCCGCCGGGCAAAAGGCACAAGACGGTTCAGTTTGAAACCTCAAGATTCGAATCATTTAAAAGTATAGTTGCTGCTATAGTATAATGCAATGCATTGACAAAGTTGTTCGTTGCGTTTCTCTTAGTGCAGGCGACAGCGCGTCGGTCTCCTTGGCCCAAAATTTTGACTGAGTCCTAAAATAAAAACGCATTGTGCAAAAAATTATGACAAATAAGATCATAATAAAGAAAGTTAACTAGCGCTGGAGTTTCTTATTGTTTTGTCATTCATCTTCATTAAAATCACTGCTGACGGAAGTTTTTATCCAATATGCCAGTGGAAACTATGCTGTCTTAGAATTCTTTTTTTTTTTTTTTTTTGGAGATGGAGTTGGCTAGAGTCCAATATCGCGATCTCGACTCACCGCAACCTCCGCCTCCCAGGTTCAAGCAATTCTCCCGCCTCAGCCTCCCGAGTAGCTGGGATCACAGGCATGCGCTACCAAGCCCGGCTAATTTTGTATTTTTAGTAGAGATGGGGGTTTCTCCATGTTGGTCAGGCTGGTCTGGAACTCCCGACCTCAGGTGATCCGCCCGCCTCGGCCTCCCAAAGTGCTGGGATTACAGGCGTGAGCCACCGCGCCTCCCAAAGTGCTGGGATTACAGGCGTGAGCCACCGCGCCTCCCAAAGTGCTGGGATTACAGGCGTGAGCCACCGCGCCCGGCTGTCTTACAAATTCTTATATTTGAGTTGTTCATACGGAATTTACTGCATAGTGCCTGGTGTTAATTTCCTGTGGTTACTGTAACAAATTATCAGAAACTGTCTAAAAACAACAGATATGTATTCTCTTACAACAGATATGTATTTCTGAAGGCCAGAAATCCACAATCAGTATGTGGGCCAAAATCAAGGTGTGGGCTGCGTCCAGCTCCCTCTAGAAACTTTAGAGTAAAATCCTATCCTGGCCTTTTCCAGCTTCTGGTGGTTGCTTGTTGACTTATACTGATTCAGTAAAAGTACCTCGTCAATACTAAAAGTTGCAATACTCTTAGCAATACATTATTTCCTAAGGAAATTACTTTAGGAAAATTACTAAGAAAAAAGATTTCCAAGAAAGCAAAAGCAACACAGTCACTCCCTTTTTTGAGACGAAGTCTCAGTCCGTCGCCCAGGCTAGAGTGCAATGGCGCCATCTCGGCTCACTGCAACCTCTGCCTCCCGGGTTCCGGGTTCAAGCGATTCTCCTGCCTCAGCCTTCCGAGTAGCTGGGACTACAGGCATTCGCCACCACGCCCAGCTAATTTTTGTATTTTTAGTAGAGACAGGGTTTCACCATATTGGCCAGGCTGGTCTCGAACTCCTGACCTTGTGATCCGCCTGCCTTGGCCTCCCAAAGTGCTGGGATTACAGGCGTGAGCCACGGCGCCCGGCCTGCACACCCGCCCCCCTGCTCTTTCTCCTGGTCTCACTTTCCTCTGTTCCTCCGTATTCCCCAAGGTAGGCGCGCCTCTTTTGTCACCTGCTGTGTCAATCTGGGCTCTCTGCCTGGTTCTCTCAGTCCCTCACAACAGCAATAGTTTCCTCTCCACTATCAAGGCTATATTCTCCTACCAGTTCTAGATCTCTGAGAGCAAGATGGCCGAACTTGAGGGAGACCACTTTTTGACAGCTTTAACCTTCAAGGACACAGAGCAAGGGTGCCCTCCTGCTAGGTGCTAATTGGTTCAATGCTTCATCAGCTGCATCTTGGTCCATCAAAGGCATCATTCCAGAGACTGATTTTCTCTCTGGTGTTTGCAATCCTGCACGGTAAACTAGGAGGGTGAAAACAAAACAGAAAAATGGGAGAAATTATTTGAAAGTGACGATATCAACCAGTGAACATCAGGAATCCATTAACCCGTTCAACAAGTATTGACTGAATGCCTACTCTGTGCCTGGGCACTGAGTATTCAGGACGAACGCTGACACCGGCGGTCCTCACCTTCACAGCTAGGAGGAAAGGCCAACTGATTAAGCAATTGCAAGTCATCATCGTGACTGAATTGGTGCTGGGTCACACAGCTCGGGATTGGAACTTAGTGTCGATCTGGAAAGGCCTGCTTGGAGAAATTCACGAATGCACTGAGGAATGGGGTGGGGGTAGGAGGTTGGAGCGAGACAAGACTGGCCAAAAGTCTGAAAAGAAAAAGACAATTTGGGTTTGAACCCGCAACAGAACAAGCCCCACAACCCTTCTCTCTCCGTAGAATCCCTACCTCCCGGAGGGAAGACTGAGAATCCTGAAGGGGTCAGGAATGAGAAGGACAAAGGAGAAAGAAAAGAGTAGGACGGCTTCTCCCACGGATCAATCGCGTAGGTGGTGGTGGTCCCTGACAGCTGCAGCTGCCTGATCACTGCTGGATCTGTGATTCTAAAATTCTGAGCAGTAACGAGCCCAAGCGTGCACCTGAGGAAAGAGTAAGGGCACACAAAGTCAGAACAAAGTATGTATGTATTTGAGCCAGGGCCTCGCTCTGCCACGATCAGAGCTCATTGCGGCCTCGAACTTCTGGGCTCAAGAGATCCTCCCGCCTCAACCTCCGAGCAGCTGGAACTACACGTACACGTGACCGCGCCTAGTTTTTCTTTCTTTTCTTTCTCTTTCTTTTCCTTTCTCTCTCTCTCTCTCTTCCCCCCGCCCACCCCCCCCCCTTTTTGGTAGAAACGGGGGTCTCGCTTTTTTGTCCTGGCTGATCTCGAAATCCGAGGCTTCAAGCGACCCTCCCGCCTCCGCCAGAGGAAGAATGTAAACGGGACAGGAATGTGTCTCTGCTCCCCCGCCCTGGCGAGGGACTTGCTAGTATCCTCTATCCAACTGCTGGCTGAATGTGTTCTCTCTAGGAATCGAGGAGGACTGCCTTTCTCGCTGGTTCTATTTCAGTCCCGATCCCACAGCTTCAGTCCAACCGGTTTGCTTTGTTTGATAGGCTGGGCATGAGAGTGAGATTTGGAGCTATCCTCACAGATTCCTGGAAGTTGAACAGATCTCTGATGAGTCCTCTCTTTAGAACTAAACTGATTCCCCCAGGACCTACCAACTTGAGGAATTTTCTGGGAAGCACTTAGGTACCTGTACGGACTTGTCAACAACTGCCATACGTAAGAGACTCTAATTCCAGCTTTACTGTGCATGACCAGAAAGCTTGAAATTGAAATCTTGATGCCATCCCATAGTTAACCGAGATTTTCCAGGTTTATATATAGTTCAGAATTCAAAGTTCTGAAAATCTAAGAGCTTTCACAACTCTGCGCTTTTGCTTCTCCTGAGACGCTTGTCCTGGAATGCTGGTTTCCATTTTGTTCCCTAATAAAAATCTTGTTCATTCTTCAAAGCCCACTTCAAATAGGGTCTTCCCCACCCCACCTCCAAATCTCCCTCTCTCTCTCACATACACACACCCCATTGTATTTTTCCACACTTCATTTTAGCAGGTAACTCTGTGCCCAATAGAAAATTTACTCACTTGGCGGGGCGCGGTAGCTCACGCCTGTAATCTCAGCACTTTGGGAGGCCGAGGCGGGCGGATCACCAGGTCAGGAGATCGAGACCATCCTGGCTAACACGGTGAAACCCCGTCTCTACTAAAAATACAAAAAATTAGCCGGGCGTGGTGGCGGGCGCCGGTAGGCCCAGCTACCTGGAGGCTGAAACAGGAGAATGGCGTGAACCCAGGATGCAGAGCTTGCAGTGAGCCGAGATGGCGCCACTCCACTCCAGCCTGGGCGACAGAGCGAGACTCTGTCTAAAAAAAAAAAAAAAAAAAAAAAAAAGGAAAACTTACTCACAGTATCTGTCTCCTTCATTCCCCAAGTACGGTGAGAAGAATGATGATGATGATAATATTAATAACACGGATTTGGATAATTGGCTGACTGCTTTTGTGTATTATGTTATTGACTCATCGCAACTTTATATAGTAAATACTGTAATACTTTTATTCCCATTTTACAGTTGAGAAAATTGGGATTTGGGGGGTGTTAAGAGGTGAGATTTCTGTCTTGGTCATTTTTCATTTTCCATAGTGACTAGTGTAGTACAAGCCTACTGGCTCTGAATATTTGCAGATTGATTCCTTGACCCTAGCTGTTGACTTTTTTTTTTTTTTTTTTTTTTTTTAGTAGTCTTTCACATTCTCTTTCCTCCTCTTGTCTTGATGCATATTTTGGTTTTGTTATATTTTTTCGACGTTCTCTCTGAGCTGACGAGTAAACGGTAGCAAGTCTGGTGAATAAACAGAACCTACCGTGCCAAAATTAGGGAATTTTTTTTCCTATGGACAATGAATAATAGCTCAGATGAGAAGGAAAGAAACTGGTAGCATTCGAAGAAGAGTTCTTTTTCTCTAATCCAATTAGCTTTATGTGGAAAATGAAAGAAAAGAAAAGAAAAGAAAAAAAGAGGCATTAATCAAGATAAGTTAAGCCAGACAGTTCCTTTCACAGGGGTCCCAACCAGACTGTTTTCTGAAAGCAGAGGCATAAAAACTAATGAAGCAAGAGATTCTTGCTGCACATAGAGGAGACAACGTGTGATATCACGAAAAGAGGGTGCTTTTCAAGAACTGATCACCAGCAGGCCTAGAGGGTTGAATTCCTATGAAACATTAGATTAAAAGGCTTCCGTATATACAGGAATTTTACAAACCATATTACTTTTATGTCTATGTCAAAATAAGATTTCTTAGTCAAATTGATCTTATGTATGTGTCAAAGTTTATTAATTCAAGGACAGAACTGACAAGATGACAAAAGAGTGTCCCATCTCAAGGAAGTTTTGGAAACTGTGAATATATGGAGCCAGGGAAGAGAAGAGAAAGTGCAATTAATTAGAAAAAGTCCTGCTTCATTTAACTGGATCATAACAACATCACATCCTGGCTGGAAGCGGTGGCTCACGCCTGTAATCCCAGCACTTCGGGAGGCTGAGGCGGGTGGGTCTCTTGAGATCAGGAGTTCGAGACCAGCCTGGCCAACATGGTGAAACCGCGTCTCTACTAAAAATACAAAAATTAACCTGGAGTGGTGGCACGTGCCTTTAATCCCAGCTACTCGGGAGGCCGAGACAGGAGAATTGTTTGAACCCGGGAAACGGAGGTTGCAGTGAGCTGAGATCGGGCCACTGCACTCCAGCCTGGGCGACAAAGAGAGACTCCATTTCAAAAAACAAACAAAAAATCACATATTCCATTTGTTGGTGAAATAAGATCAGGAGCACCACGATCTTTGTTTGGAAACTTGTAGAGAAGTCATACGTGCCCCAAACTCTTAGCAGATATAAGAAAGAAATAATAAGCAATAGCTGCTCTTTAGACAGACCAAGAAACAAAGATTCATGCCCCGATATTGTCAGACAGGAACCAGTTAGCACAGGGTCACCAAACCTTGTCAGGAGAGAAACAAAAAGTCTGCTTTTTCTCCAGTAGCTCTCGGTAAATTTACCAAATGTGCATTCAGAGATGGTGCTGAATTCATTGTTTGCCTGTTTCTCAGTTTTGTGACAGCAGGTTTTAATTTCATGTTTATGACCTTCTCCTATCCTCTCTTAGGAAAAAAACATAATTTGTACCTTCATAGGGGAAAAAAGGTTGAAGCGCTGGAGAGATGAAGCAGTCCTGAAACTGCTTTGGCCCAGAATATTAAATTACTGTGTAGGTATTTCTAGGGCTATCCCCTAGCGCCCAGTTGGAGCAGCGTGAAACTTACAGAGAAATCCGAGGAAGATAGAGTAGGTGTCTAAACCACCGAGGCTCTAGCAGCTTCAGAAGCTTGAACACAGCGATCAAATCTCCCAGAAATGACTTCGCCATTTCTTCTCTGTCATCTTCATAACTGTCTTTTCAAAAGGTTATGCTAATCTCAACTAACTCCTAATGGATTGTCTCCGGAATTTCCCGCTTACTGAATCACCCAATTGAGTTAAAAATGTTAAAGCGCTTACTTAGAACAATGCCGGACACTCGGTCTACGCTAGATTAAGTATTCATTAATAAATGTTTTAAAATAATTGAAAATTACATTGCTTGTCATTTTGTACCTGGAATACTAAAACAGGAACAGGGTTTCTATGCAGAAAATGCCTCCTATGAAAATTGAAAGTTAACTTATCCACAATTTGCTGTTTACTCAGAGATTTCGTTCCTGGATGAAAGAATTTGGAGGTTAAAACAGAAAAACCTCATTCCCTGACCGGGAATCGAACCCGGGCCGCGGCGGTGAGAGCGCCGAATCCTAACCACTAGACCACCAGGGAAGCTGAAGTAGGTTTATTAAAACATATTTATGAAGCGAGAACTCAACACATACGCACACAGTTGACTTCTACTTTTCCGACGAGTTAGTGCACGGTCATGCTCTCGTATTCACTGACCTCCTGTTTTGCACCAACCAATAAAATCTGGACGGCAGAGGGCGTGGCAATGCCATAAGAGTAATTTGGGAAGTTCGTAACTGGATGATGGAACGTGCTCTGTTTCGATGTGTGCATTCAACCGAGAATAAATTGTAGCATCAATTTGTAATTGTCTTCTTGCTTTTCTTTGCATAAAGTGGTGAGCCATTTGAAGAACGAAATAATTTTTTAATTTGTCTTTGGTTCCTTCGGAGTACCTGTCATTGTGGGTTTTTTTTTTAATAAATACCTAATAGTAAATAAAAAACATAAGTAATAAATTCATTAAGCCTTATTTTTAAGTGGCGTGGGCGGAGCCGAAATAGCTCAGTTGGGAGAGCGTTAGACTGAAGATCTAAAGGTCCCTGGTTCGATCCCGGGTTTCGGCATGAGAGCGCTCGGTTTTTTGTGCCCACGGCAATACAAATATGGAATTTTCCTTCTACAATACAGAAACACTCCTTAGAACCTAAAATGGGGTCATATTTTTCTCAAATTCATAAAGGAAATCGCAAGAACACTGTGGGATACGTTTATTTCTGTAGCAGAACTCTAGGTATGGGTTTCAACATCTCACTAGATAAAAGAAGAAAAGGCAAACGTGCTGAAAGAAGTTTAATCTTGAGCAATACTAATTACATTTTATTTGCGACCTCTGTTCCCTCAATAAATATTTATTAAGTGAATTGTTAGTGTTATGCGCGCGTCTAACTGAAGAGACAACCTGAACAGGCTAAGTGTGAGCAACAAGCTGTTTATTCACTCTGGTCCGAGCGGGCTGAGTCCGAAAAGGGAGTCCCACCACCGGAGGGTGGTGGGATTGCAGCTAGTTTTATAGGTTAGGAGTAAGCAGTGGAAAGATACAATAAGGGCCCGTTTATTGCGGGCAAGGGAAGAATGTCACAAGGTACATTATCACAAGGTGGGAGGGGTCACAGAGCACAGTGTCACGAAGTTGATTGATCAGTTAGGGTAGAGCATGTTACAATGGTAGAAGGTCGCAAGGTTGGCTAATCAGCTAAGACAGGAGCTGTTTTTCTTCTTTTGTGGTTTTCCTGTTGTCCCAGACTTTCTGGCTCCAGGAGACCTTCTGGATGTGTACGTGTGGGTCACAGGGGTCACAATGCCTTGATCATAGCACAGCCTGCTCCGAGGAAAAGGATAGAGAGAGGCACGGCCGGTGAACTGAAGGGAAGTTTCCTGGAAAAAGGAGCCGCCTAAGCTGTTGAAAAAGTGGCTACTTGCTAGAGGTGGGGGAGGGGAGGGGTGGCTGCTGCGCTGTGAAAGGGAGACAGCCAGCATATTCCCTCAGCCACCTTTTTCCTAACCTCCTAATTTGCTAGCTCTTGGCATATTCAACCCCTGTCTTCCTACTCGGAGGAATGGTCTCTCATTTCCAAGTCTACTTAATATTCCATCTGAGCTTTTGAACCCTCTACCCATTCCATTTTGCTCTATGTTTGTGTCTTTCATCTCTCTCCTCCTTACGTGCCTCTCTTCAAATTACAGAATGTCTAAACCTCTATCTTTGGACAACAAAAATGGAACACATGACCTTATGCATTATCCTCAGACTCTTTCCTTCCACTCAGCACCAAACCTGTTGAAAGAACAATGTTTACCTCATTATTTGCTCATCAGCGGAGGAGGTCTGCCTTCCAATCCCAGGAAACCATTACCATCAACTTTCCAACTTTCAAATGTCTTGGCTGTTTTTGGTCCTATACTTAATTTTGCACAGTATACCAACCTATAAACAATCCTTCCCTTATGAAGCAGTCCTCCTTTGGACTTTGGGATTTTGAAGCAGCCTCGTTGTCTGGGGTGACACCCTAGATTCATCGTCTCACAGCCACAGAGATCAAGGACCTGGACACACAGAGAGGTTAAGAGTGGAAATTTAATAGGCGAAAGAAAGAAAATATCTCTCTGCTACAGAGAGGGGTCCTGGAAAAATGGGTTGCCGAAATTCGGTGAAATGCAGGGGGTTTTACAGATGAGCTAGTGGGGAGATGGTGTCTGATCTACATAAGGCATGAAAAACCCAGATAGGACCAGGTGTGCCAACTGCATAGGGTGTGAATCTCTGGCAACCCTCACCCCAATCTGTTATTATGCAGGTGGGTTCTCTGCCTGAACTTCTCCATGTTGCCCATTTCTTTCTTACTGTACACATGCTAACAAAAAAGGGAAGGTGGAGCCTCATGGTGGACATGCCTCACCCCCAGGTAGACCTTTTCTATCGGTGCAGCTGCCAGCCTTCCCCCATGCAAGTTTCCAGCTTCCTTATCTATGTCTGCAGCTCCATCTTGCAGGCTGCTCTTTGTTAGAAAAGGAATAATTTCTAGGGCTGCTTTTTGTTAGAAGAGAAGTTCTGCCGAGGACTCTTTTGCCCTAACTACCTAAGCAATTTCTTTGTATCTCCTGTATCAACTTGACTCTCCATTATTTTTCTCCATACTCTCTTGCTCTTCCCTTTCAGCTCCCTATCCCTCCAATTTTAATGACTTTGGTCTTTTTTTAAATTAAATGTTTAATTTTTAGGTAGTCGTAGATTCACATGCAGTTATAAGAAATAATATGGAGAGGTCCCATGTCCCCTTTACCTGCTTGCCCCCAATGGTAACATCTTGCAAAACTATAGCACAAAATCACAATCCGGATATTGATATTGATATTGATAAAGTCAAGATGCAAAACATTTCCATCACCACAAGGATTCCTTTTGGCCCTTTTACAGCCACACCCACTTGCCTACTGTTCCTGCCTCAACCTCTGGCAACTAGTAATCTGTTTTTCACTTTTATGATTTCATCATTTCGAGAATGTTATGAAAATGGAATCATACATTATGTAACCTATTAGGATTGGCTTTTTGCACTCAGTGTAATTCTCTAGAGATTCATCTAGGTTGTTCAGCATCAGTAGTTCATTCTTATTTCTCGCTCACTAGCATTCTGTGGTATGAATTTACCAGTTTGAACATTCACCTGCTGAAAGACATTTGAGTCATTTTCAGCTTTTGACTTTTACAAATAAAGCTACCATAAACATTTGCATACTGGTTTTAGTGTTAATATAAATTTTCGTTTAGCCAAGATAAATGTCCAGGAGTGCAGCTGCCGGGTGGTATGGTACTTGCACATTTAGCTTTTTAAGAAACTGCCAACTGTTTTCCAGAACAGCTACATTTCACATTCCCACCTACATGTATACAGCCTCATCAGCATTTGGTTGTTGCCACTATTTTTATTTTAGTCATTCTGATAGATGTATAGTGATATCTCATCTTGGTCGTAATTTGTATTTCCCTAGTGCTAAGGATGTTGAAAACATTTTTATGTGCTCGTTTGCCATCTGTATATCTTCTTCGGTGAAATGTCTCTTTAGGTGTTTTATCCAATCCGATAAGAATAGTTGTGTACAGGTTTTTATGTGGGAAGTTCCTGAAAAAGCTGGAAGTTCAAACCTTTTCCAAATCTCTGTCTTAGATTATGAAGTTCTCATGCCATGCAATTTGTTTTTTAAAAAAATTATTTAGTGATACTTCTGAAAGCAATGTAAGGAAGACTATTCAGGACTATCGGGATAGGCACAAGGGACCATTGCAAGGAGGTTTTGCAGTGAGGGAAAGAGATCGGCCTCAGTTCTGAATATAGCATGGGCAAATGGGAATTTATAGCCAAGGAGCAGTGTGTCCTGGTCAGTGGACAGGAAATTACCAAGAGAAAACCTCAGAGGTAAGGGGAATTCTGGCCAAACAAACCTAACAGGATTCTTGCTGAAGACAGGCCAAGGTAATCAGACATCAATCATCTGGGGGATGGTGGAGAATGAGGAGCCTGATCAGAAATGGAGGTTAAACATAGATGATATGGGGGTTCTTGCTAAACTGACTTGGCAGGGTTCTTTGCTAAAACTGGACGTTACAAGGAAGTGCACAGATGGGCCTAGCAGAAGATTCAGAAGCCTGACTAAAGTTTGGCCAAGCGAATAGTCTTTGTTAAATTCTTATGCAACTGCATTTGCAAAATGCAAAACAGACTACTGTCTTGTTGTTTGGGGAAAGGAAGAGTGCAACATGGAGAAATTTCCAAGATGATAAGTCACTAACGAGTTTCTTCCGGCTCCCACTGACTGAATGAATCATCATTCCCTGAGGGGTAAAAAAAAAAAAAAGGAAGATCGAGCAAAGGGTAGCATATACCAGTCCCACCAGTGAACTCACTTGGTATGCAGAAATAATGCTGTTGATTTTTTAAAAGAAATCCCGAAAAGGGAAGTTAAAAGAGACCGGGTCTCGTCGGATGTCCCGGGCGGAACTGCAGGCGTTGCTCGCAGGCGCGGTCCCACCGTCGCCCAACACGGGGAGTTTGACCTGCTCCGTGTCCGGCCTGGGCCTGGTCCCCCCCTCCTTAGACAACCTGGTACTCCCGGGCTCCCCCGGGAGTACCATGTTGGTGCCAGGCCCGGTGCGGACGCCCGCTCCACACAGCGCCGTAGCTCCGAACCCCCGAGCACCCACGATCCGCCGACCTCAGCCTCCCGGGGAGCTGGGATTACAGGCGCGCGCCACCGCGTCCGGCGCTTGGTTTGGTGGCACCGCGGTCTTGGAGGCTGCAACTGCCGACTGCGTGTGCTGGGAGGCGGGATCCGTGCAGCGGTTTCCTCGCCGCCCAGCCGGCTGCCGCTCCAGATTGCCAGAAGTGCCTGATAGAACTAGCTGAAGAGACCGCAGAAAGCACTGGCAGAGAGATGAATGAGCATCCCTTACTATGTTGTCCTCGGAACCTTTACAAAAAGGTCAATTAAACAAACAGCTGTAAATTTAATAAGGGAAAGAGTGAAGGACTGTGTTGAGTGGGTTTCACAGACTTCAATACGTATATGAAATCACCTGGGGAGCTTGCTAAAATGAAGAGTTCTAACGCTGTAGGTGTAGGATGGGGTGTAGATATTCTGCATTTGTGAGAAACTCCCAGGTTAGGTCAGTGTTGCTGATCAGCAGCCCACGCTGCAAGTGACAAGGTTGTTGATGCTTTTGGACCTGATGGTTCTACAAGTTCTTGTCACATCATTATAATATTAGAACATGAAAAGAAAAGAAAGAAAGAAAGAAAGAGAGAGAAAGAAAGAGAAAGAGAGAGAAAGAAAGAGAGAGAGAAAGAAGAGAGAGAAAGAGAAAGAAAGGAAGAAAGAAAGAAAGGAAAGAAACAGAGAAAGAAAGAAAGGAAAGAAAGAAAACCACAGTTCCAGCCTCACAAGTGACTCTAGACATTTTCTTTCTTGTTTTTTAGCTCTTGTCCTCACGCATACATAATTTTTTCCATGGTGGAAGCCATGACATTTGTACGATTTCATGTTGGGTGCATTTCCACCTTGTGTAAGTGGTAAATATGTACAGATAATTGTTCAATCACTCCTTCTGTCAGCCAACATTAACTGAGACCCTTTTCTGTGCCATATACAGTAGGTCTACCTGGGGAATCTGAGAGTACAAAATGCACTCCTCTAAGGAGCTTATGGCCTGTTAAAGAATAGAAGACGGCCGGGCCTGGTGGCTTACGCCTGTAATCCCAGCACTTTGGGAGGCCGAGGCAGGCAGATCACGAGGTCAGGAGATGGAGACCATCCTGGCTAACATGGTGAAAACCTGTGTCTACTAAAAATACAAAAAATTAGCCGGGCGTGGTGGTGGGCACCTGTAGTCCCAGCTACTCGGGAGGCTGAAGCAGGAGAATGGTGGGAACCCGGGAAGCGGAGCTTCCAGTAAGCCGAGGTCGCGCCACTGCACTCCAGCCTGGGCGACGGAGTGAGGCTCCGTCTCAAAAAAGTAAATAAATAAATAAATAAATAAATAAATAAATTTTAAAAAAGAATAGAGACAAGTAAATCAGTGAGAGTGAAGATTTACTCCTAAGTTCTTCCATAGGTGTAAGGGCAGGGTACTGTGTACAAGATCACCAATACAGGCACCTAATCTGAACAAGAATGGCTTACTGGATGAGGTGCTACCTGAAATATGTCTTAAAGATAAGCTATAATTAGGCACATAAAGAAGGGCATGGAAAAATTTTTACCATCAAGTCCTGACAGAAGCAAAGCTAAAAAGGTATGAATGCCTGGGAAAATTACTAGTTCCTAGTTCAAGTAGACCTGAGCAGAAAATCAAAGGTTCATGGACCAAAGTAAAAAGATGAAGCAGTGGCTGAGGCCTGTAGTCCCAGCACTTTGGGAGGCCAAGGCAGGAGGATTACCTGAGGTCAGGAGTTCAAGACCAGCCTTGGCAACTTGGTGAGACCCCCCGCCACCGACACACACTAAAAATACAAAAATTAGCCAGGTGTGGTGGCACACACCTATAATCCCAGCTACTTGAGAGGCTGAGGCATGAGAATCGCTTGAACCCTGGAGGCAGAGGTTGCAGTGAGCTGAGATTGTGCCACTGCACTCCAGCTTGGGTGACAGAGTGAGACTCCATCTGAAAAAAACAAAAAAAAAGGATAAAGATGAGGCTACAAAGGAAAAAATCGTTACTTTGTGTAGTATACAGTCTCCAAAAACTGACCTCAATGCAGCATATTTTTCGGTCGTTACACCCTTTTGTAGTCCATTCCCACAGTGAATCTTGGCTGACCTAACAAAATTATTTCATTGAGGTGATACTGTGCCAGTTCCAGGGCTAAGCCATGTGAAATCTTGCACCTTCTGACTTGGTTTTCTGGAATGCTAAATCTTGGGATGCTCCCTCTCAGAATCCAGTCACCATGCCATGAGAAACCCAAGCCACATGAAAAGGCCATGGCTAGGCACTGTGGGTCACAGTCTCAACTGACTGAGGTCCTAGCAACATCAACTGCCACTGCCAGTTATGTGAGTGAGCCATCTTGAACATCCCTAGCTCAATCAAGCCTTCAGAGGAATGGAGTCCTTACTGACATCATGTGGAGCAGAATCACCCAGGTAAGCCCAGTCTATTCACAGAATTGTAAGAAATAGTAAAACGGCTGGCATTTCAAGACATGTGTTAGTTTTCTATTGCTGTCATAACACATTACCACAAATGTAGTGGTTATAAAAAACATAAATTTATTATTTAGAGTTTTTTAAGACAGAAGTCTGGTATGGTCTCACTGTGCTAAAATCAAGGTATTGGCAGGCTGCATTCCTTTCTGTTGGCCCCAAGGGAGAATCTGTTTTCTGCTCATTCAGATTATTGGCAAAATTCAGTTGTTTGCAGTTGTTGGATCAAAGTCTCTGTTTTATTGCTGCCTGTAAGCTAATGGCC